>NC_000001.11:55614441-55765956 GCF_000001405.40 Homo sapiens
CAAGCTAGTTAATCAATGTCATCAACTCAAAAAGTATTTAAGGTTGGTCACACACAATAAAACTTGACATGCTCTAAAAATCTTACAGCTCATCTATGAAAAAAACTGTATAGAGTTTTTTTTTTTTCTGACTTTGATGATAATCCTGAAATTTTACATGACATTCCCAGTAACAACTTGCGGAGCTGAAACTTTTTCTAAAGGATCCACAATGAAAACAAATTTCAAAAGTCCACACTAGAGGAAGAAGGGTTCAATTTTCTGTTCCTTCTGCAGAAAATACGATAAAATTGCTGTCATGTCAAAAAGTGAACAAGACACAGCCAAAAATGGGAAAAACTTACAAACAAACATTTGGGATTTTATATTTGTCAGCCTTTAAAAATGTATAAACTTTGGTGATTTATTTTCTCATTCTAAATAAATATTCACTCTTGAACCTAATTTTGTATTTACCATTTTGTGTTCTTTTTCTCTAGGTGGACCTCCACAGGAACAAATCATATCCATGTCAGGCGGCACCAAACCTAAATCTGCTTCTGCCTCAGCAGACAGGACATGGTAACTGTGGCTTCTGCAGCATTTGGGATGGAAAAACATGGGATGCAAACCAATTCTAGCAATGCCTAGAGATGCAGGGGATAGAAATTTCTTCTGTAAGAATGTACTAGATAAAATGTATATTTGTTGAAACAATTAGCTACTCCTTGACCAACAAGGCGAGAGCTCCACTATATGGCATCACCCATGTAGATCGTGAACAACAAAGCATAATTTGATCTGACCACCTCAAAACATTGTTTTTGTTTCCTATTATATTAGGTTGTCCCCACAAAATTCATGTCCACCTGAAACTCAGAATTTGGAAATAGGGTCTTTGCAGATGTTGTTGCTTAGGTTAGGATGAGGTCATACTCGGTTAGGATGGGCCCTAAATATGGTGTGCTTATAGGAAAACCAGGTGAAGACACAGAAGAGAAGGCCATGTGAAGAGGGAGGCAGAGATTGGAGGCATACTGTCACAAGCCAAGGTGCGCCTGGGGCCATCAGGAGCCAGGAGAGGCAAGGAAGAATTTTCCCCTAGAGCCTTGGGAGGGAGTACAGTGCTGACAGTACCCTAATTTAGCATGTCTAGCCTCTAGAACTGTGAGAGAATATATTTCTGTTGCTTTAAGCCACATAAGTTTATGGTGATTTGTTATGGGAGACCTAGGAAGCTAGTGTACCTGGTAGCTGGTAGACTTTGGGTGAGACTGGGACAGGTACTGCTAATGGTCAGAGTTTTAAGAGAGGCAAGCAGAGAAACCCCCGTCTCCATTGCTTCATGACTTTGTTGCAACACAAACATTCATGGTGCTTTTATTATACACAAATTGCTGTGCAGGCCACAGGGGATGGAGAAAGCAGTTAGACACAGTCCTGGTCTGGTGGAGCTTATGCTCAGGCAGAGAGATGGCAGGATAAAAAGATGGCTGCTTCACAAGGGAGAAAAAGCAGAGCAGGGACCCAGCCTACGTTTCCCACAGAGACTGCTGTAGTGGGGCGGGTAAGGGGGCATGAGTTGTTTGAGACCAAGCTGGCAACAAACTGGAGAAAGGCCTGAGTGCAGGGGGTAGGGGAGAGAGGGAGGGAGGAGATGGACTTAACCCATTTTCCATGAGGATGAAACTGGGAGGAGAGTGAAAGTGCTTCAAGGTGATTTTTCCAAAGGATTTCTGGATGGGGTGCTGTTCAGTGTCTGGTGTTGTGCTTTTGACAAAACCAACAGTGAAACTCTCCATTATTACCTAAAGCTTTCAGAGTGAGACCAATGTTCCTCTGATGTGGCATCTTATAGATACATGGTCATGAGACCTTCTGGCTTTACACAGGTTACTCATGGACGCAGATATTCATAGTAGAAGGTGGGATGTGAGCTGGGCAGGAGGCAAGCTGCAAACAAAGCAGCAATTGAGGCCAGAAAAGGTGAAGGCACATTCTGTTTGGGAGCTACTCTTTGCTTCCCTAAGATTCTCCACAACCTAATGTAGCTACAATCAAAAGGCAATTTACTGCCAAGTAAGTGATATGGTTTGGCTGTGTCCGCACCCAAATCTCATCTTGAATTGTAGCTCCCATAATTCCCACGTGTTGTGGGAGGAATCTGGTGGGAGATAATTGAATTATGGGGGCGGTTTCCCTCATACTGTTCTCGTGGTAGTGAATAAGTCTTACAACAGCTGATGGTTTTACAAGGGGAAACCCCTTTTGCTTGGCTCTCATTTCCTCTTGCCTGCTGCTATGTAAGATGTGCCTTTCACCTTCCACCATGATTGTGAGGCTTTCTCAGCCACGTGGAACTGTGAATCTATTAAACCTTTTTTTCTTTATAAATTACCCAGTCTTGAGTATTTCTTTATCAGCAGTGTGAGAACGGACTAATACAGTAAGCAGTTTTCTTTCTAGGGTGATGGTAACTATTGATGCTAACATTGGTTCCCAACTTCACTTCCCCAACAAAGCAGGAAACAGCTAGAGCCCACTGGCTTTAGAACATGCTGTTAGAATTTTTTGAGTCTCATCAAAACTTCACAGAAATCCTAGCTAAGTTTTTCTTTCCATTCGGGTGTAACCTCTGAACGCCCCCTGCAAACTCTTCCTTTTCCTTAATTATCCTTTTGACCTTCAGAGTGCATTTGCCAGGGGTTCTGAATAGATCCTTAGTTGCAAATGTAGTGTGTTATTTCTAAGACTTGTATTTTATAAAGTACATCATAAAATTCTATCTCAGGGCCCAGGTGGTTAAGAGAATATTTCAAATGTTCTACTTATTTTCAGAAAAAGGGGGGCTAATCCTAAAAAAAAATTCCTTTACATATTGGCCAAGTCCCTGATGTACAGTTGGACCACATCATAAAATGCTCTTAAATGGTTATGGCCAGTGTCAGTGGATTGAATCATCTCCCTATGCAGATGATGAGTCTTTGGGATTGGGGCTGTTCCCAAACCCAGATAACTTTAGAATGCAAACTTGGGCACCTGGGGAACTGGCTGCAGCCACCTGCTTTTTTGGAAACTAAAAAGGAAAAGGCATCTGTCAATTGTGTTCCCTTGATACTAGCCCCAACTGATTCTAAAAACAACATTCAATTGAAAATAAGCTCCCAAATGACGTCAGATTTGGGAAGAAATTGCATCCAAAGTATCACTTATGGCCAACAGTCAATTTTTAATTTTTCCTTTGTGTCTCTCTTTTGTCTTTCCCAGGAAGCATTTTCTCTTCTAGCCATGGCTCAAAGTCTACAAAGCTTGCATCTTCTACTTTAGTGTGAACTTGCTGAACTCTAGTTGCTTTCACTGCAGGGAAGGGACTTTAGACCCATCTCTGCTTGATGGTTTTGTGAACCCGGATGGGTCACTTTCCTCTCTGTCTTGATTTTTCCCAAATGTAGAATGAAGGTGGAAAAATCACAGATTCTCCACATTCTGATGGGGAGAAGGTTTTGCTTTCTTCCAGAGAACCAGTGATTCTGATCATCTACAATGTTTTACCTCTTACTCCAGGTGTCACTGACAATTTTAGCAGTGTAGCATCGCTCCAAATTATCTTTTATCTACTATATCAGCCAAACTAGATAGGATGGGTAATTTCATGTGTCACCTTGACTGAGCTAAGGGATGCCCAAATATCTGGTGTAAACATTATTTCTGGGTGTATCTGTGAAGGTGTTCCTGGAAGAGATTAGCATTTGAATAGGTAGACTGAGTAAAGAAGATCCCACCCTCACCAGTAAGGGTAGGTGTCATCTAATCTGTAGATGGCCAAAATAGAACAAAAAGGCAGAGGAAGGGTGAATAATCTCTCTTTGCTTGGGCTGGTGCATCCATCTTCTCCTGCCCCCAGATATCAGTAGTCCTGGTTCTTGCGCCTTTGGCTTCAGACTGGGAATTACATCATCAGCTCTCCTTGTTTTCAGGACTTTGGACTTAGACTGAATTACACCACTAGCATTCCTGGTTCTTCAGCTTTCAGACAGCATATCATAGAACTTCTTGGCTTCCATAATTGTGTGAGGCAATTTCAATAATAAATCTCCTCTTATGTGTCTATGTATATCCTATTGGATATATATAGATTGGATAATTGGATAATTGGATAATTAAAGGGCCTTTGTGGGGTTACTGCACCAAATAGCTCCAACAGAGTCAATCACATTATATTCCATATGTAAATGGCACCCTAGAGTTGTGGAATCCGGCAGGTAGGGAGGATGTGGTGGGAATCACTATTTCTGCATTTTGTCATTCTTTGATGAAGATAGTATTCTCAGTAATTTCTGCCTCCAGGGATGTGAAAGGGCTTTTCATATACATTTTGCTGGGGGAGGGGGACTGCAGGGGCCTTTCTTGGCCTTTCCTGCTTGGCTCTTTCTTCACAGATTAGGAAGCCAGTGTGTGGAAGCCAATGTGAGTGCCTGATATTATGTTTCCAGGACTATATTCAGAAATTCCAGGATGGATTTGATGTTTCCACAGAGCTTACAATGCAAATTGAATTAAAATTTCATTTATCACTTGACTTCTATAAACCCTTACTCTACCTGCTGGACTGCAGTAGGTTCTGGGTCCTAGGATTTAGTGTTTAATTAAGGCCAGTGCCTAGTAATTCCTCAGAGATCTTTTTATCCTGTTAAAAAGGCACTAATATTCCACACTACGGAGAATTACCCACAAATAGGAAAAGGAGTTGAATATTGAGCAGAAGAAAAACAAAACCAAAAATAGGACCGCTATGATATTTTTCATTCATTCAGCAGTCATTTATTGAGTACTCACTATGTTATATTCTAGGCTGTAGTTTTCAACCACAGGTATCCTAGTATTGCTTACAGGTACATTAAAGCATTCTGTAAATAATGGAATGTTTCCTGCCAAACCATGAAATTTAAATAGTCTGAGTCGTGTCCCATTACTTTTATCATGCCAAGTGCAATCCCACCTGATATGGTTTGGCTGTGTCCCCACCCAAATCTCATCTTGAATTGTAGTTCCCATAATCCCCACATGTCGTGGGAGGGACCTACTAGGAGATAATTGAATCATGGGGATGGTTACCTCCATGCTGTTCTTATGATAGTGAGTGAGTTCTCATGAGATCTGATGGTTTTATAAGGGGCTTCCTTAACCCTGCTTTGCCCTGCACTTCTCCTTGCTGCCACCATGTGAAGCAGGAGTATTTGCTTCCCCTTCTGCCATGATTGTAAGTTTCCTGAGGCCTTCCCAGTCATGCTGAACTGTGAGTCAATTAAAACTCTTTCCTTTATAAATTTCCCAGTCTTTGGTAGGTCTTTATTAGTAGTGTGAGAACAGATTAATATAGTAAATTGGTTCTGCAGAGAGTGTGGCGCTGCTGTAAAGATACCTGAAAATGTGGAAGTGACTTTGGAATTGGGTAACAGGCAGGGAAAGACAGGAAAATGTGGGAAAGTTTGGAACTTCCTAGAGACTTGTTGAATGGCTTTGATCAAAATGCTGATAGTGATATGGACAATGAAGTCCAGGCTGAGGTAGTCTCAGGTGGAGGTGAGGAATTTGTTGGGAACTGGAGTAAAGTTCACTCTTGCTATGCAAATAGGCTGGTGGCATTTTGCCCCTGCCTCAGAGATCTATGGAACTTTGAACATGAAAGAGATGATTTAGGGTATTTGGCAGAAGAAATTTCTAAGAGGCAAAGGGTTCAAGAAGAAGGAGAGCATAAAAGTTTGTAGCCTGATGATGTAATAGAAAAGAAAAGTCAATTTTCTGGGGGGAAATTCAAGCCTGCTGCAGAAATTTGCATAAGTAAAAAGGAGCCAAATGTTAATCATGAAGACAATAGAGAAAATGTCTCCAGGGCATGTCAGTGACCTTCACAGCAGCCCCTCCCATCATAGGTCCAAAGGCCCAGGATGGAAAAATGGTTTACTGGGCTGGGCCCAGGGCCCCCTCTCCTCTATGCAGCCTCAGAACAAAGTGCCTTGCATCCCAGCTGATTCAGCTCCAGCTGTGGCTAAAAGGGGCCAAGGTACAGCTCAGGACATTGCTTTGGAGGGTGCAAGCCCCAGGCCTTGGTTAGTTACATGTGGTGTTGGGCCTGTGAGTACACAGAAGTCAAGAATTGAGGTTTGAGAACATCCGCCTAGATTTCAGAGGATGTATGGAAACACCTGGATGTCTAGGCAGAAGTTTGCTGCAGGGGCAGAGCCTTGATGGAGAACCTCTGCTAGGGCAGTGCAGAAGGGAAATGTGGGGTCAGAGCCCCCCCAAAGAGTCCCTACTGAGGCACTGCCTAGTGAAGTTGTGAGAAGAGGGCCAGTGTCCTCCAGACACCAGAATGGTAGATCCACCCACAGCTCGCACCATGCACCTGGAATAGCCACAGACACTCAATGCCAGCCCATGGAAGCAGTCAGGAAGGAGGCTGTACCCTGCAAGGCCACAGGGTTGGAGCTGCCCAAGAACTGTGGGAACCTACCTCTTGTATTAGAGTGACCTGGATGTGAGACATGGAGACAAAAGAGATCATTTTGGAGCTTTAAGATTTGACTGCCCCCACTGGATTTCAGACTTGCGTGGGACTTATAGGCCCCTCATTTTGGCCAATTTCTCCCATTAGGAATGGGTGTATTTACCCAATGCCTGTACCCTCATTGTGTCTAGGAAGTAACTAACTTGCTTTTGATTTTACAGGGTCATGGGCAGAAGGGACTTGCTTATTCTCAGTTCCCATAATCCCACATGTTGTGTGAGGGACCTGGTGGGAGATAATTGAATCATGGGGGCAGTTACCTCCATGCTGTTCTCGTGATAGTGTGTGAATTCTCACAAGATCTAATGGTTTTATAAGGGGCTTCCCCTCCTCCCCTTCTCTCTGCAATTCTCCTTGCCATCATCATGTGAAACTGGGTGTGTGTGCTTCCTCTTCTGCCATGATTGTAAGTTTCCTGAGGCTTTCCTGGCCATGCTGAACAGTGAGTCAATTAAACCTCTTTCCTTTATAAATGATCCAGTCTCAGGTATGTCTTTATTAGCAGTGTGAGAATGGACCAATACACCATCTCTGGGCCTTGGCACCTGCAGTTCCCTTTGCTTGGAAGTCTTCTCTTATAGAGAGCACATGGACAGTGCATCACTTCCTTCATTTCCTTGATGCACTGAGTTATGTCAACCTGGTTAAGATGGGAACTGCATTTTCCATAATTTCTATTCCTATGTCATTCTAGATTACAGCTGGCAAAAAAGGAACAAGCATGAAATTTGGAAGGCTGGGGTAGGGCAGTAGTCCTTACTCTAAGAAAGTTATTATGGGCAGATGTGGTGATGAACAGACACAGAAGTACCTGGCAGGTCCCCACTTGGACACATTCTCCTTCCTCTGCTCCCAAATTAATCCTTAGCTATGGCCCTGTAGAGGTGGTAGCTACACAGAAGGAACAGCTTTGCATAGAACTTTCCATAAGCTTTCTTCATGATACTCCTTTAGTAGCTACATATCGTGCCTTCTCAGAGTCTACAAAGAAAGCTTGTGGAAAGTTCTATGCAAAGCTCTGTGCCTGTTTTTTGCTCTGGAAAATGGAGTGACATTAATAGTCACTACATCATAGGGTTTACATGGCTTAACACAACAAAAGTGCTTAGGACAATGCCTGGCACATGGGAAATGTACAGTGTGTGTTAGGTTTCACTATTGCAGTCACACTATGCAGCTTCTTATTGTTTGGGTTTAGGAAACTGAATTTAATGATGAAAGCAGGAACCCTCTCATGTTGAGCAGTGGAGTGACAGGAGCACTTTGGTTTTAGGATGATTAACCTGCCAGCTTGTTTTGAATGTAATCAGAGACCACACAACTGAAAGCAGGAGGCTTTAGTGGATGCCCAGGTGTGAAGTATCTAACATATCTCTCTGTCATAGGTACAGCCAACTAATACCAAAGTTCCCCTAAGGATCAACAGACCGCTGAAAAGAAGTTCTTTGGCACTGCCTGCCTGGCCTCTGTCCCCAGGGATATTGCTATCAGACAATGATAGCCTGATGGTTTAGGGACTTAAAACTAGAAGGAAACCTGCCATTTACATTATTTAGTAATTTGGCATAGTCAAAGGAACATAGGCTTAGACTTTTAGATTGGCATTTGTCTCCTGGCTTTGGTGAACCTTGGTGAGTTTCTTTACCTCTCTGAGCTTTAGGAGGTTTACATCTATAAAACAGGGAGAATATATCTACCCCATAGTACTTTTTAAGAATTAATGAAATTAATGTTCCACTGTCCCAGGTACAGTACGAGGCTCTAAGTAGGCCTTCAGTAAATAGTGTTTTGAAGTGGATAATAGTGTGATATGTTTATCATAATAATTATAATTAGGTAGGTTGTTGTAAGGAGTAAAAGAGATGAGGTATGTAAATCACTCTGCATGGTATTTGATATTCAGTAGGTCTTATAAATGCTAGTTTACATCTGTCCTTCCCCTCATTGAGCTGTTTGTCTTTTCTGTGGGGTCTATGTGGTTGCCAATGATAGGCAAGGCTTATATACCCCATCTCTAGCTCATGGTCCAACAGCAAAGTGTGAGGTCTTAGCTTCTTGATTCTCAGCTGCCCAGGACAACTGTCTTAGTCAGTTTGGACTGCTTTAACTAATTACTATAGGCTGGCTGGCTTAAGCAACAAACATTTATTTCTTACAGTTCTGGAGGATGAGAAGTCCAGGATCAAGGTGGCAGCAGGTCCAATGTCTGGTGAGGGCCCACTCCCTGGTTTGCAGACGGCTGACTTCTCACTGTGTCCTCATGTGGTGGAAGGCATAAGCTAGCTCTCAAGTCTTTTCTCAGAAGGGCACTAATAACATTCATGAGGGCTCCACCCTTATGACCTAATCACCTCTCAAAAGTCCCATCTCCAAATACCATCCCACTGAGGATTAGATTTCAACATAGGAATTTAGGTAGACAAGTCAAGCTATAGCAATGACTTTCCCTGAGGCAGTTTGGAAAGACCCTTTGCGCTGTGGACTGACTAGCCAGCAGCACTTCTCTTATCTTTCAGTGACTTGCATGTTAGCAGCTGCAGTTTCTCATGGACGCAAGCCCTGTGTGATCTCAGCTGGACACGTCACCCGGACCATTTCCCTGGCCCATGTTGGGACTGTTGAGACAGTCAAGCTGCACTCTGTGCAGATTCTTTGCCAAAGCTCAGAAGCAGCTGCCTATAACTCAGATTATCATTGGGCTTTGAGAGTAAAGTATGTGTTCTATACAAACACAAGAACTGGTTTTAAGTACTTCTTTTGTCCTTTGTGTGTGGCTTTATATTTTTAAAAGTTCCATCCCATTGATTATCATCTTTGTAAATAGATTTATTATCTAAGGTTGCTAAATCAATACCCAGACTTGAATACATGGTTGTGAGTTAACATATCTGGTCCCCTAAAAAAATCTTTCAAATGATTTAGACTGAGAAGTTAATTAAAATCAATTGGGGGCACTGATAACACAGGCTTTTAATGTTTTGTTTTTAGAAGCAACCAGGGGGATTAGTACAAGAAGAAGTGCTCAGAGCACTACACAGGTTAGCCTTCAAAGGAAAAGGGTTGCTATGTTTAGTCTTTCATTTGACAATTATCTATTCAGTAACTCTAATGTGCCAGACATTCTTCTAGGTGCTAAAGATAAGATAGGGACACCAACAAATAGAATTTCTTACCTTCATGAAACTTACATCCTAGTGGGGGAGATAGAAATGTAACAAATCAAAAAAATGAAATATATAATGTGTTAGGTAATAGTAAGTATTAAGGGACAGAATTAATCAGAAAGGGGAGTATACATCATTGGGGTTGGCACTGTGAGTGCATTAATGGTGGCCTTGGAGGTGGTAAGAGGGTTGAAATTACTGAGCACTCTATTGGACACTGGGGATATGTGGAGGAGGAATAAGGCAAAGTCACTGCCCTCATGGGAGTGTGGCAGGAGCTGTAAGCTTTCCACCAAAATTTGTTCTCTCCTCTGGTAATAAGATCATAGCTGGAACAGATGTGACTTCCAAACCAGGGTCTACATTTCCCAGCCCCATCTTGGCATTATATGTGGCCATGAGAATAAGTTCTCTCTAGTGGAGTATGAGTAGAAGTGACATGGGTCCTACCAGGAAGGTGTTAAGATGGCATATGTGCCTCCTTCATGCCTGAATGTCGTCAAAATCAAAACTGAGTCACTAGTGTTATAAAAAATCCCTGACAAATAGAGCCGGAAAAGGCTATAGAGTTCTTATGCTTGTATGCTTAATAACAAAACTATCTCAGACTCTACAGAAACTGCAACTTTACACAAAGGCCATCACAGCCTTACATAAAAAATGCTTCTGCGAGGACATCTGCCCAACAGCTGTCTGTCCAGACTTGGACTGGCATCACCCTTATTATTGATCTTTGTAGCCGAAGATAATGATGTGTAATCCTCCTCATTTTTCCTTTGGAAACCTTAGTCTTTTTTTACCTCCATGAATATGCACATAGTTTACTATGGCATGCATATTCCTGTTGCAATGCCATGCTCCTGAATGAATAAATATCTTTTTTTTTTTTTTTTAAATAGGAGTACCTCTCTCTCTTTCTCGTTATTTAGTTTGACAATGTGCTCTTCCTCCTGAGTCCTTGACTGACCACATGGAGGAGAGCTGCCCCCTGACCTGGAATACCCACTCTAGACTGTTAAATAAGAGAGAAATAAACTTCTAATTTGTTAGTGGTATTGTACTTTTGGGGGTCTAGTTGCTATCACAGTTTAACCTTAACTAATTTATGGACCACTAATGTAACATATCTTTAAGACTAAATACCACTTATTTATTTTCATGGTTGATTGCTATATTTTAGTCACATGGAAAGAAACAGCTATGGTAGCAGAGGAAAGGAATGTTTAATTCTGTCAGCAGTGGGTAGGTTAGGGTCAAGTTGGGAAAACCATGACAAAAAAAGATGATATTTGAGTTGAGTCTTGAAGAATGAATGAGTATTCACTTTGGGGAAGAAAAGGGGAAAGGGCACTTCAAATCTAAGTCACAGCATGAATAAAAGCTTTCATGGAGGCATGAAAGTCCAGATTTTGTGTTACCTGTTTTTTTAAATTCCCTGTAATCAGAAAGAAAGGAAAGAAAATGTCATAGTCCTAACCTATTGTATCTCACTATTTGATTGCAAATTTTTGAATGCAGAAAATAAGATGTAGTAAAATAAAACACTGTATATGTTAGAAAGCTAAACATAGCTGTTGTATTGTTTCCAAAGATTTCAAAGATGACTTTCACAAGGTTGTGAAGAACGTTTTATTCTATTCCAAATGTCTGAGTTTTCTTAGGTATGGGGGCTTTAGGTAGTAGGCTAAACTGCAAAGCTTCTTCTCTGAAACCTGAATGCTATCATGGTTTCTAAAAAATAGATACCTGCAATTGCAAAGATCCAATGAACATGGCTGATAGGATTACTTTTCCAGTATAGCCACAAAGGACTGTGACTTTTCTCTAGTTATCAGACAGTGCAAAATTCTATTAGTACATGAGTTAGAAATAGATTTCTAACATATTTAATCCCCTCTGCTGTTTCTTTTTTGTTTGAAACTACCATTCACTACACTCTATTATTGAACTATGTGTCCAGCACTGTGCTAAGAGTTTCACATACCGTAAGCCAGATTATTGTGTATCCCTGTTCTACAGATGAGAAAACGAAGGCACAGAGGGTAAGTACTTGTTCAAGGTTATATGATTATTGAATCCCATAGTAGGGGTTTGAGGAGGTCTGTTTGATCCCAAAACTCATTTTATTAACAAAGAAATTCCTTCTTTGCTTCCCTTTAGCATTTATTTTTGATTGCCATGGTATATATTTTTAAGGCTTGTTCAGGTTTTGGAGATATCAGACTTTTATTTTTTGAATTATGTGTTTAATCATCGTGTTTTCAAAACATCCATCAACAACAAGAATCCTTTCTCAATTCTGCCCTCTGGGTCCATGCTGACTTTTCATTGAGCCATGACTTGAATATAACAATGTGTCTCAAGTATTTCACAACACAGGGCAATTTCCTTTGGCCAAAAATTACCTTGCTGGGACACAGGATACCCAGATTATGCAAGATTTCAAGGCATCCATATATCAGCATAAATCATCCTTAAATCTCTGGGTAAAACAAGGTCACCTCAGTCTTAATTCTTTTTCTAATTTTTGGGTTGACTGGTTAAGCCTTGATATTCATTGTCAGGAAATTAGTGGGTTTCTTGAGAGAAATGCTTTATTAGTTTCTGTTATGTATCAATGCTGGAGAAACAATAAGGGGGGGCTAACAGAAACTCAAAGTGAGCCATGTGTCAGGTAACATGTTTATGCTCTTGTATATAATCATCGCCACAAGCCTGCAAGAAAAATACTATTATTTCAGTTTTTACCAGTGAAGACCATGAGACTCAGCTTTGCCCAAGGTTACCCAGTTAGTAAATGGTAATTCCGCAATTCAAACTGAAGCCCATTCGATTCCATCCAATATCTTTTCACGGCATGATGCTTGAGTGATTAAAGTGAAGTGTTCTATTTAAACCAATTATTCTAGACTAGTGTTTTCCAAACTCTGTGGTCATGAAATCAATTTTATGGATTGCTATTGGCATTAAAAATAGTAGAGTAAAAAATATTAGAGTGTATTCCATAAAGAATGAACAAACATTTTGTAAAACTTTTGTTTTAGTTCTACAGACAAACGTGTATTCAGTTGTGTCTAAGGAAGCGTGACCTGGCTTGCTTTGTATGATGTAGCTGCAGCCAAGGATCCTCTATTCTGCTTCTCTTTCTTTTGCCGTAGCCCACACACTAGACATTCTGTAGACCCCTAGACTTCACAGGTTGAAACCAACCTTCCCTCGTGCTTTTGCAGTCTGACTTCTCTTCCTGTGTTCTGTGTTCCAGGTAGGAGTGTCAAGATCCATCACATTATGATCATCCTTAACAACTCCCTCTTTCTTAGCTGTTGCATCTAATCTACTTGTCAGATCTTTCAGATTTACTTAGGAAATAAATCTCAAAACTGTCCCTTCCACTCCGTCACTCCCTGTTGTTGGAGGCAAGAATGCAGTTTTATCCAAACCCTTTCTCCTGAGCAACTAGACACCTGCAACCCTTCCTTCATCTTTCCCTCTTCAACCTATTTTTAACAGTGCTGCCAGGGTCTATGCCTTGGATGTTCATGTGTTATTGAAGAATTTACACATTCATACCCTCATTGAATCTATATTGGGCAGATGGCAAATCTGAGCACATTGCCCCTGCTGAGAACGCTTCCGTAGATCTTATTTAGAGCAGAGGGCTCTACAGAGGGGTGTGTGTTTTTCAGGAGGTGCTCAAGACAATTCTTTGGTGTATAGGAAGAAAACATTACTTCTCATATTTCATCTATAGGTAGAGAAATATTTGAATGTAATTTATAAAAATTTAAATATACACTTAAGATTTAAATATACTCATTTCTATTCTCTTTATGAGAAAAACTGCGAAATAGAAAATGTTTGGCCACTGTAGTATATATAGACTAGCGGTACCTTAGCTTTTCATATAAAGCCCTTTATAATCTGGTGCCAATTTTGTTTTCCAAGTTCATGTCTGGTTGTTTCCTACTCCTTTCTTCCTCCATTCATACTCTCTGCTTCAGCTGTACTAAGCTAAAATGTTTTTTAGATTTCAAGATGTATATTTTTTCATACTTTAACATTTCCGGGATGCATTTTGTAGTTATTGTTAAGATAAATTTGCCAGTGGCCAGTTAGGGGAGTAAGTTGTGATAAAGTGGCCCTTTAATCTATGTGTACATATATGAATGTGTGTGTATGTGCGTGTGTGTATGTGGCCTCAAAATCAATTACTGTCACAAACAATGTTGTGGTCAACAACAGACCACATATACAAAGGTGGTCCTATAAGATCACAATGGCACTGAAAAATTCCTATTGCCTAGTGATGTGGTAGCCATCACAGTGCAATGCATTACCTTTTCTGTTTAGATATGTTTGGACACACAAATACTTACCATTGTGCTACAATTGCCTACAGTATTCAGACCAGTAACATGCTGTACAGGTTTATAGCCTAGGAGCAATAGGCCATACCACATAGCCTAGATGTGCAGTAGGCTGTACTTTATAGGTTTGTGTAAATGCACTAATATTTGCACAATGATGAAATCACCTAAGGATGCATTTCTCAGAAGGTATCCCCATTATAATGCTATGACCTACACTGATAGATTTGGGTGTCATGCCAGTGCCAAATTCTTATTTAACAAAGGCTTCTAGTCAACCCTTTTAGGTGTGTTTCAAAGAAATTTTCAATGTAGTGGTACATAAAATAAAGAGTAAAATATTAAAAATGCTAGCAGTAGTTACCTATGGATAGTAGAATTAGAAGTGATATTTTTATATAGACCTATATTCAGATTTTGTATGGTGCTTATACAAAAAAGTACTTCTTGTTGAGACATATTTCATTCATAGAAATGACTGTATTATGTATATATCAGGTATAAAGAAAAATAAATCCTCATGTGATTGCTCCTTACTTTTAGAAACAGAAATTCTTTTGAAGCCCCCAGTATGCTTCTCCTCTACTGTATTCTTCTCTTCTCTCTCAAAGGTCACCATATTCAATTACCCAGAATTTATGTTTATCATTATGTTGCTTTTCATTATGTCTTAATAAGATATCTTAATTTTATATTGATATAATTAATTAGATATTAATAATTAGATATTAAGATGTATAATATCTTAGTTATATCTTAACAAGGTATAATGAAAAGCAACATAATGATAAACATAAATTCTGGGTAGTTGAATATGGTTACCATTGGGAGAACCATTTATTAAGTAGGCCATCTTTCCTACATTTGTATGCACCCAATATATTGTGAACATTTATATACTGGGCCCATAATAAAGGTGTCATATTGTGTATATTATCTTGAGACTTGTTTTTCCTATTGAGTATTATGTTTTTGAGATTTATCTACATGGATACATGAAGCCATAGTTCATTCATTTTCACTGCTGCACAGTGTTTTATAGCATCAATTCCTACTCTATCCATTTCCTGTGACAAACATTTGTACTATTTCTGATATTTTAAAATTATAAACAATGCTGTCCTGAATCTTCGTAGGAACATCTCTTGCCACAAAAGTTTAATAATTTCTAATACCTTGTTCCTTATTTCCATCTGAGATCTCATCAAAATGGTCTTTACTATCTGTACTTTTATCAGCATTCTGGTTATGAGCACTTAAGTAATCTCTCAAAAAATTCAAGCTTTCCCTGCAGACTTTTTCTGAGCCTTCACCAGAATTGCCCTTAATATTCATCAGTTCATGGCAATACAGGCTATTTCTAGCCTGTCCTTCCAAATTATTCCATCCACTACCCATTACCCAGTTCCAAAGCTGCTTCCACATTTTCAGCTATTTGTTGTAGCAACAAAGCCACTCCTGGTACCAATTTCCAGTCTTAGTCCATTTTTGGCTGCTATAATATAATATCATAGACTAGGTAGTTTATAAAAAACAGAGATCAATTTTCTACAGTTCTGGAGGCTGGAATGTCCAAGGCTGAAGGACTATATCTGGTGAGGGCCTTTTTGCTGCGTCAAACATGATGGAAAAGCAGGTGGGCATACGAGACAAGAGAGAAAGGCACTAGCAACCAAACTCACTTTACAGCAACCCACTCTTGTTATAACTAACCTGCTCCTGTGATAATAATATTAATTCATTCATGAGGGCGCTGCCATCATGACCCAATCACCTCTTATTAGGTCCCACCTCCCAACACTGTTGCATTGGGGATTAAGTTTCCAACACAGGAACTTCTAGGGAAAGCATTCAAACCACAGCATAGACCAAGTTGCAATGTATTCAGGATGGTATCTGGGTTCTCTGTTCTGTCATATCAGTCAGTCTATCCTTGCTGTATTACTTCAGTGTGTTAATGCTATATACAGCTTTTTAAGCCATCTGATCCGATAAAAATTTATATAATCTAGGTACAAATCTTTTTAAGTTTCATAAAAACTTCCTGTTGGAATTTTGGTTGAAACAATTTGATACTATAGATTACATTCAGGAAAATGACATCTCTATGATATTGACTTTTCCTATCCATGAACATAGTAAACATTTACATTTATTAGTTTTTTCTGAATTGTTTTACACTTTTCTCCCTAGAGGTCTTGTATGTATGTACACACATCTCCCCCCAACATATAATATATACTTTATGCATTTTATGTTTGAATAGATGCTACCTTTTCAAAGGTTACTTATTTCAAGTGCCTCTTCAATCTTAATTTGTAATTCACTTTTGCATATTGATGTTATATCAATCACTTTAGTCTCTTATTATAATAATTGGCATATTTTTTCAGTTTCTGACAATTGAAAATTACCAAATACACTATGAGTTTTCCTTTTCTTATCGTTTTTATTTCTTTTCTTGACTTACTGCATTGGTTAGGACCAATATTGAATAGGGAATTATTGTTTTGTTCTTTTCTCCTAGCAAATTGTTTCTAACATTTTACCTTTAAGTATACTTTACTATAGATTTCTGATAGGTAACTTTCATCAGATTAAAAAAGTTTTCCTCTACTCCTAGTTCTATAAGAATTTTAAATTATAAAACTATTCTATTTTATTGAATATTAAAAATATTATTGGGGTTGATAACCTCTCTTTATTGTTAGTAAAATGAATTAATTATGTCAATGGGTTTTAGATACCAAGCCAAACTTGCATTCCTGAGATAAATGAAACATTATCAAATTGTATTATGTTTTTTATTCATTGCTAGAACCAACTTGAAAAAATTGAGTTTAGAATATTTGAATCTCTGTCCAAGAGTGGCAGTGGTCTGTAATTTTTATTTTTCATATCATCCATGTCTGGATTTGGCATAAAAAGTGCACTAATCTTATAAAACTAGTTTGAGAGTATCCCTCCATCTGTTCTCTTAAGGAGTTTATATAAAATTGTAATTATTCCTTGAGAGTTTGGTAGAACTTATTAAAATCATCCATTTAAGCCTGGAGCTTTCATAGCAGCAACAAGATTTAAAAACAGTGACTCAATTTCTTTAATAGTTATGTAGTGTTTAGGCTTTCTATTTTTTTTTGACTTAGACAAAATGGATGAATCATCAAGAGATATAATAAAACTAAGAGAAGGTTAATTTCTAGTATTGCATAAACCAATTAAGGGGAGGAAATCTATGAGTACTATCAAATGGGCAGTGCAGGCCTGGAGCAGTGGCTCACATCTGTAATCCCAGCACTTTGGGAGGCCTAGGCGGGTGGATCACTTGAGGTCAGGAGTTTGAGACCAGCCTGAGCAACATGGTAAAACCGCATCTCTACTAAAAATACAAAAATGAGTCTGGCATGGTGGCGAGTGCCTGTAATCCCAGCTACTTGGGAGGCTGAGGTAGGAGAATCACTTGAACCTGGGAGGTGGAGGTTGCGGTGAGCTGAGATTGTGCCACTGCACTCCAGTCTGGGTGACAGAGTGAGACTCTGTCTCAGGAAAAAAAAAAAAAAAAAGCAATGCAAAATGAAACGCTGGTATTTTAAGATACTTCTAAAATTTATACTGTCAATCCTAAAGGTATAAATGAGGTCAAGATGTTGAGCATATTTTACAAAAAATCATGAGTCATTCTTATGCTTTGCATAACTTCTAATGTCTAAAAATGATTCATAAGAATCTTCGGGTTGAACATAGAACACTTTGTGACATAAAAGAAGAAAATAGTCTGTATGGGTGGGGACAAGTATATGCTATGATGAGTAGATAATTTTTTAGTGATATGACTGGCAATGAATGAACTCTTAGAATCAAGGGAATGTAGTCCTCGTTATTCATTAAAATGCCTTGTATTTTCTCATATCTCTGCTCTTGAGTAAGCAGTTTCCTCTTTTCATCATGTGATAAACTCCAATTTTAAAGACTCAGTTCAAACTGATGTCTTCTGTGACAACATTCTGAGTGCTCTCCATGTACACTGAAACCCACTCTATCAATAAGAGCAAAAACCCCTAACACAGAAATATTTGTTCTGAGTTTTTGGGTTGTTCTTCCCCATCAGGCTGTAAGCTCATTGAGAAAGGGTCATATCTTAATAACTTTTGTGTATCCTGTAGACAGTGCAATGCTTTACAGAAGGCGGCCAATTACTTTTCAGTAATGTTTAATAACAAATAAGCTGTTTATGGTCATCTCCTACTTTCTTGATTCTTTTATAACTTACCTGTCAGTAATCAGAGATCTGCATCAGAAATGAAACTGAATATAAAATCTTAGGAGATCATTTTTCTCCCTTTTTTGAAATCCTTTATTATCTGGCTACTCAAATTTGGTAGCTGGGAGGTTAGGAAGGGATGGTGGCAGGCCTTCTATTTCTCCTGTTTTCATTCTGAGCAAGATCTTGCTTGTTCTGGTCTGGTGCTGTTGGATTTGATTCCTGTCGGCCTCCTGTAACCAGACCTGCAATGTAATCTTACACCTAATTAGGCAGTCCTGCAGCAAGCCCTGACCCTTGCCATTTGAAGGATGATTTATTTTTCTTTGCTGTGCTCAGCAAAGTAGAGGCTGCAAAGTCATTCGGGAGGTCAAACTGCTCTTTCCCCTGCTCTAATCAAGTCCTTCCAGCCTCCTGCCTTCTTTGGCCCATGGATGGGTACTTCTTTCCAGAGGCCCCACAGCAGATATGGGTGGGCAGAAGGGTGGTCTCTCAGTGTGGCATTCAGAGGGAGACAGGACAATACTTTTGTCTTCTGTCGAACTCGTCAACATGGATTCAATTGTATCTCTTGCCTACTTAAAATCAATAGATAGCTTCCACAAACTCTTTAGCTTGGGTAGTCACCCCTCAAGGTCCTGCTCTTACCTTTTTCTCCAACACTACCTCTCAGAGTATAAATTCCTGGGAAAAAATGCCATACAGCTGAAAAATTGTGTAGTTCTTCAAACGATAGTCCATTTCGGGTCTCCTACTTTGAGCATAGTGTTCTTCTGCCTGGAATGCTCTGTCTCTTCATCTTCTTCCTCCTCAATCCTCTTCAGGTAGTCAGTTTAGTATGACTCTTCAAAATTCTGTTTGTGTCTCCTTCTCCTGGAAGCTTTCCAGGATTGCCCCAGCCTGGGATAAATTCTATTATTCCTTACTCTCACTGCATTCTGTTGCATCATTATGTAAGGACATATATCACATTATATTTTAATAGTTGATTTAGAGGTTTTATCTTCCCACGGAGTATAAACTCTTAGAAACTAAAGAAAAATGCTGTCAAAGTGCCTAGGTAGTGTCTCTCACAGAGTAGGTCCTAGGTAAATATGCTAGTCAAATTAACAAGTCAAAGAGGAGTTGAAGGGAGTCCAGATGTTGTGTAAAATGCAAGAATGGGGCTGGGGAGAGGCCAGGCTGACCATGGAGTGTTGGGCAGATGGGAAGGCACACTGTTGAGCCGGGGGTCATCTTGGGTGCTATTTACCTAATGGCGGCTCTTAGGAAAGACAATGACTAGAGCCATTAGGTCTGATGGCTGATCGCTGGGCCAGGATCCTAAGAAGTGAGAAATAATGGAATAATGGCAACTTTATATCCTGAAGGGAAGTATAAATACTGGATAGAAAAGGAACTCACCTAAGGGGAGCAAGTGGGTGCATAAAGTTGATCTTGGATACAGATTGGTGGTGAGCGAGGAATAATAGACTGAGCCAAGTCCAAGGCAGGGTCTTTCAAATGGTCTTCTGGTGTGAGCTCAGGGAATTACGTGAAGTTCCAAGGGAGATGGGGGCTGTGGGGACCTGAAAGATGAAATCAAGGTAAAGAGCAGAGCCACTAGAGATGCTATTGGGTACCACAAGTGTCTGGAGTTTCATACACTTGAGAGGAGGGTACTTTTCCTACATTAGAGGCTTGTATACAGTGACTGTTGGAGTGAAAGGGTGACCTGCTCCTAACAGCCATCTTAAAATGGCATATTCACCATGGCAAGACAATCCAAATTCCTTGTAAGATTCAGCACACAGGTGCTAGTCTCTACTTAGTTCTGAACCAGTTCCTTGACCTGTATTTATACCTGGTTCCATGTTGCTCCTAACCCTGTTGGTCTCCGACCTTTGTGAGGTTCTTCTGTTTATCCAGCCTGCCTCACTTGTTTGACTTGACACTGCACTGCTCCTTCTTGGCTCTGATCCCAGGCCCTTGGCAGTAACTCTGGTTGTCTACTCTACTGGGCCTCTTCTTACCTCTACCAAACCTCCTTGCCAGTACACCCCAATCTCACTACACCCTTTCCTTTGGCTTTATTCTTTCTTCCCAACAGACTTCCCCAGCCCTCTAAGTGAAAACCAGAGATGGATTAATGGCCTCATGTCAACACAGATAATGTTATGACAGCCTATAACCTGTTCTTTGAGCATTAAACCTCTTATGAAACTTCTGCTGAAGGAGAGGGCATGACTGGCCATGCTTATGTCCTATGCCCTGCCCTTCTGGCCATCTATTGAAGTATGGATGGGCACCTGCCTCAAAGGCAGATTATGCATAGGAGGAGACTTAGGAAACCAGATTGTCCTTGAGAGAAACTTAAAAGATAAAGTGAAACACTGGTGAGTGGTGACTAAGCAGAGAAAACTGGAGGGCAGAGAGGGTTGGGAGATTCTAACAGGTTCACGTAGAAGTAGACGCCCCATGGCTGTATCTGTCCCTGTTGATGTTCTGTGAAGTCCCACTGTGTTTTGATTCTATGCAGCGCTTAGGTACCCCTTTATTACCACGACAGTTTTTGTTTTGTTTTCTTTTAGCTAGTTTGAGTATTGTCATTGCAGCCAAAGAGCTGTGACTGTTTATGAGAACGTGGAATGGAGTGGAGGGCTATCAGTCTGGGGTAGAGGGGGAGGTCTGGAGCATCAGAAATGAAGTGTAATGGAAATCTGAGTTGCACGGGGTGAGTTTTGGTAGAGGCCAGGTGTCAAGAATAGGTGAAGAGGAGGACAGCTGTGGTCTTTTGGACCATACCAGCCACCATCAGGAATACCCTGATTAGAGAAGAAGGACTTGGATGGGACTTCCAGGCAGGGGATTGAATCATTTCTGGGACCCCTCTCCTCAGGCTAGCATGGCCTGAGTACACACTCAATAAATATTTGTATTTACTATGACAGGCACTGAGATAAGAATCTTACATGCATTAATTTATTTAATTCTTAGAGTCTTTTGAAGGGTGTCTTACTATAATTTCCATTTTACAGATGATGAAACTGAAGTTTAGGGAGGATAAGCTAGCTACCTGCTCCAAATCACATAGCAAATGTGGTAGAGCCGGGATCTGAAAGCAGGTCTAAATGTGCCAAAGCCCATGCTTTTTAGCATTACTTTATGCTTGCTTTACACAAGGATCACAGTGTGCTTTGTTTTAAGCCCAATGCCTCTCCTGCTTTCAAATGACTGTGTTAAAAAATCACATAGTTTCCCATGCCCTGCTCCTCCTTCTATAGCCAGGTCATGCTGGATCCTGGAGGTGCCTGTTGACTGCTCTCAATAAATGCTGCCAAGAGGCATTACCAAAATGTGAAATGATTTTCATTTGGAGAGGAAAAAACGTGAGTAATAAGAAGTAGATTCCAAAAGCAACAAGCACTGGACTATTTTTTTTCTTCAAGAAATGTTAAACTTGAAAAGGCAAGGCTATTAAATGGCTTGCTTGAAGATCAGACTATTTTTCAAACTTTCAAACTTTAAAAGATGAGACTAGTATTTACATATGAGGTTCCACACAGTCTCTATCATCCTTGGAAGACCAAATGATAGAAACTTCACTATAAGGAGGAACCAAGATGCATTTTCTTGGTTCCAACAACACTTTAGTTTCTGCAGTCACCAGCTTCAAATTTCTCAAGGGAGGCATGACATTTTACTAAAAATTTAATTCTAGTTCACTGTAATTTCAAAAGCTGTGCTTATCCACTGAGGTAGCCTGGGTTCATCAGATCTACTTATTTGAAGAGGGAACTTGGCCAATATCCTTAATTTCCCTGGGCCTCAGTTGTTTCTTCTGTGAAATGAAGACAATTGTACTCACACTGCAGGGCTGCTTAGGAGGGGAAATAAGATAAGAAATATAAAGGCACTTTAAAGTGTAAAGGGCTCTTTCAATGTAGGGGATTATTATCACACATTCTTCTAGGCCATGTTATTTATTAAGGAGGTGTTTTTGGCATGCAGATATAACAGCAAAGGAGATTCATTCATTTATTCAGTCAAGAAATATCCTAGTTATCTACTCTATATTGCTCATTATTGTATTTAGAAAGCCTAGCATAGTGACTAAGGCCAATGCAATGCCTGTCCTTACTGGACTGAGGTCTGGCGGGAAACACAATCTACTGTGTTGGAGAAGTACATCATAATGATATATCCTGACATAATTGGAGATATGTGGGAGTACTCAGAAGTGTCTTCTCATCCAGGTTTGGGGAATAGGAAATACTTAGTATTCTGGCAGTCTTATGGGCTGAACTGTATCCTCCCAAAATTCATATGTTGACATTCTAACTCCTAGGACCTCAGAATATGACAATATTTGGAGATGGGGTCTTCAAAGTGGTAATTAAGCTAAGAGGAGGTCATTAGGATGGGTCTAATCTGATATATCTGATGACTTTATAAGGAAAGGATATTAGACGTGGACACTCATAGATGGAAGACTACATAAAGACACAGGGGGAAGACAACCATCTGCAAGCAGAGGCTTTAGAATAAACAACCCCACCAACACCTTGATCTTGGATTTTTCAGCCTCCAGAATTGTGAGAAAATAAATTTCTGTTATGTAAGCTGCCCAGTCTTTGGCACTTTGTTATGGCAGCTCAAGGAGATGAATGAAAGCGTTAAGTAGACACTCAACAAATATTTGTTGAATGGATGAAAATGATACTTACATGAGAACTGATTCATGACAGCAGTTAGCCAGGCTTAGGGTGCATGCAAGAGGGAGGGGATGGCTACAGTATTCCAGGCAAAGGGAACAGGATCTGGAAGCCATGGATGTTCGTGAGCATGAACTATGCTCAGGATAACTACAGCATCGAGGATATGGTGAGGTGGCAAGAGATGAAGGTGGAAGGGTAAGTGAGGGGTCAGGTCAAGCTGGGCCATGCAAACCAGGCGAAGGTGAATAGAAGCGTCCAGAGGCTCCCAATCCCCCAAGTAGAAAGCAGTTACATAAGTTATGTCAAGGTTGTGATATATTACTAGCCTAACTACCACAGGCTGGACACATGACTTATTTCATTTAAACTTCGTGACAAACCTATAGGGTTCTATTATTGTCTCCAATGAGTAATTTTCCTAAGGACAAATGACTAGGGGGTAACACAGCAGGAATCAGACTTACACACTTAGTTTAGGATACAAACTGTCCAGTACAATCTCTGAGTTAAGCCATGAAACTTCTTTAGGACAGGCTCAGCTCTGGCCAGTGCACCCCTTACTGGGAAGCCTGAGTCCTCTGAGTTTGGGTTAGGAAGTTGTCAAGAGTGAAGGCATTGTATTTGCAGCATGGTATGTATCTGTGTGTGTTTGTGTATGTGTGTATAAGTATGTACATGTGAATGTGTACATGTGTATGCATGAATGTGTGCATGTGTGAGTGTGTATGTAAATAAGTATATATGTGTAAGGGTGTGTATGAGTGTGCACACATGTGCACCCATGGCTGAATTACATGAGAAGAGTCCCCCATGGACAGCAGCATTAGAAGTCAGTCTCTTCCTGCTGGGATGCCATGATTGCTATCAGGAAGAAGGGAAGATGTCATGGCTTGGGCAAAATCAGCAGCAACATTACTGAAAAGTTTGTGGTAATCTAAGGCAACAGAATATTGCCAGAATGTCAGCAGGAGCGTTTTTCCTCATCTCTCACCTTTCCATATGGAGGGCCTCCAGCAAGACCACCTCTCCTGGTCTCTCTGCCAGGGAAGGGGAGTGCCTGTCTGATGGTGGCTGTGGGAGGCAGTCTGTCAGCCAACAGGAGCGTGTGTCCTGGTCTGCTCACAGCCACCCTAGGCAGTCTGAGTCTGCCCTTCTGGGAGCCCCTCACTCCCACCATCCCCCATGCCAAGTGGGTGAGTTTAATTCCAGGCTGAAGTATCTTGTTGACTAATCCTTTTGGCCCTATCTAAAGCAGCCATGTTCTTTTATCAGCATAAAAGCTGTTTTTTTTTTTTTTTTTAATCTATATCTGCCTGGGTCCTATGTCTATCTTAGTTGGCTTTGAATATATAAGAAGAAAGGCACATGATTTGTTGATCCCCTAGAGCCCTAATGCATTGGATTTATAATAAAGAAATGCTTAATTTGGATGCAGCGTGCTCAAGCAATGGAAGGCAGAGATGTTCTAGATAATTCTCCAACTTAGACACTTCCTGCCATACTCTGCATTTTTCCAGAGGTTCTGGCTCTACTCAATGACAGTGGGGATTTTTGAGAGACTTTCTGTCTATAAGCCACCTGCAGATTTATTTTTAAGTATTTTCCTTGTTAAATATTTTTGATACCTTTGTATTAAGAATGCTGATAAGAGTTGGATGACACACTGACTGTTTTGTAAGACAGGTATGTGTATGTGTGCTGGGGGAAAGGAAGGAGTTAGAAGGGAGGAAGTATCCATTATCTATTGCCATTGTACAAACAACCACAAAACTTTAATGCATACAGCAATAAACTCTTATCTGTCAGGAGTTATCTGGGATCAGTTTGGCAGCTCTGCTGATCTTGTCTGGGCCTGGTCACACATCAGGGGTTGTCTGTTGGCTGGTCTAGCATGGCCTCAGCTGGGGTCACTGGGTTTCCTGTGCCTTGCTCTGTGTCTCTCTCATTCCTTAAAAAACTAGCCCGAACATGGTCTTATGAAAATGGCAGAGGTACAAGTGAGCCAGAGGGAACATGTAGGGCCTCTTGTGGCTCAGGCTCAAACTGGAACACCATTACTTCCACTTCGTCATATTGGCTAAAGTGAGTCACATGGGATGGGGGAATGTACTCTGCCTTCATGTTTTTATGCCTTCATAAAACCCTGAAGTCCAAAATAACTGAGAGGAGTCAAGAAGGAGGGACCTATTAGTGCCATCAAGCTACCATAGCAGGGAAGTGAAGAAATGCTGGTAAAAATGACATGCCTCCATGAGCGAGCTAGGCAACTCACCTGCAGGCTGACGTGGATGGAAAGGTGTTTAGAAACTCTTGCCAGGGCTTCTATCAGCCAGGAGGCATACTTCGGCTCTGCCAGTTGTGTTTAGCTGGTGTCTGTTCTGATTCGCCAATGTCTGTGCTGTTCTGGCTGTTAAACCTTTGAATGTCACCCCTGCCAACATCCATCCACCAACCTAACCTTACAAGTCTTTAATTCTCAAAGATTTCTAATACTCATGTTCTCCTGTCTATAGATTCAGGGCCAGCTCTTTTCTAGCATGGTTCCCTGCAGTTGCCTTCTAATACTTCTCCCTTTCTACGGCCATAGTTGTATTTCTAAAATGCTCCTTCTGCTTAAAATTCTCCCTGGATGTCTTGTCCTTTAGTTGTCTATTACCCACCCTCACCTTCAGCCTCATCTCCAGCCTCATCTTCAGTGACTGAGGTCATCACAGCAAACCACTGGGCCTTTTGTGCTCAGAAACTCTGCTCAACCTTCCTTTTCCATCTCACTCCTGCACATCCTTCAAGATGTGGCTTAGGCATTCCTTCCTCCAGGAAGTCTACCCTCCCTTTTCCCCAGCCAAGTGGAGCGAAGCTTGCCCCTCTGTGTGATTCTGGCTACTCATGCTTCCCTTTCTCATGGCACCTGCTATACTGCAGAATGGTTGCCTCTGAATTTGTGTCTCCTGCTGGAGACTGGAGCTTCTCCAGAACAGGGTACTCAGTCTTACTTGGATCCATATCCACAGCACCTTTGACAGAGCCTGGCATACTACAGGTACTCTCTAAATGTTTTTGTTTTAATGAAAATAAGTATTCACACAATTCACAGTCTATTTACTGTAAAGTACAAAATAGTCCTTCATTCTTCCTCTCTCCCCAACCCTAATTTTCTCTGTCTCTGATGCTTCACAAACATACACATACTCAAAGGGTTCGTATAGGTTGTTAAGTAAAGTAATTGAAAGCTTCTGCTTTGATTTTTTTTTTTTAATTTCAGGAAGCTACTTGAACAGAGAGTAATTATTACTGTTAATAGCAATAATTTCCCTATAATCTGGTTACATGTCCTATTTCATTTTAATGATCAGAGCAGCTGTCTTTAAACAAGTCTGGACAGGGATCTGGAAGCAGAGCTTCCTGAGACATATTCTCTTTGGTCCAATTATTCCACTTCTGGAGAATGTCTGAGAAGGCAGCTGAGGTTGGGGGCAGGATGGGGCAGTTTATGTCCCTCTGAATCTTCTAGCACACAGGACTTTCCGGAGCTTTTCAACAGCAACTCCACTGTGCCACAGGAGGAGAGGCAGATAGGGTTTCTGATCTCATCATCTCCCTTTCTCTTAAACCCTCCAGCGAGAGCTCTCTGGGGGCAGAGCCACAGCTCCAAGCCAGCAGGTTTCCTTTCCTCTTAATTGGGAGATGATAACATGGAAAACCAACAACCATATCAATGCCTTACAGCTTCTCAGGTCTTTTTTCTCCCCTAAAACTTGCTTTACAGGAGGAAACGGGGCCGCTTCAGATGGTTTCACTTTAAAACAAAACACAAGACTCTATGCTCTGAGCATTTGCTCAGCATTTATTAAATGTCTGTATTGTAGCTACCGGCTTGCTGGTGCCACAGCATCTGCGCATGCTCCCTGTGACTTCCTGGTCTGCAATGTGTTGCTGTTCCTAGCACCAGCTCTCCAGCCAGACCTGGATTACAGTCCCTTTTCAGCCACTCACTCGGCTCCATGACCTCCGAAAGAAAGGCCCTGTATGCTTTTTCATCTCTGAGTTTTAGTTCCTTATTTGTAAAATGTAGATAAAAATATCTACTTTGCATGGTTGACCTAAGGATTAGGCAAGACAATTTAGGGCATACACGTAGTAAATGACTGCTTCTGAGCCCTATTTTACTGGTGTTCTTGGTGGGAGAGTCTTACAGAGCTGGTTAAATGCACCTGGGCTGAAAATGCAAATTTCAGAAATCCGACAGGGGCAGGAATAATGTCCATTTATGAACAATGGGATTTCAACTAAACTCCATCTTTCCCAAATCACAAAGGCACAAAGATGACCTGTTGGTCAATGGTTAAATTCATTTTGGGGAGAAAGATACCTTTGGCATTTTCCCTCTAGCGACTTGCACCTAGCTGACAGCTGTTTTCAATATGTTGATGATTTAGGAAAACAGTCAAAAATAATACTTTGGAAATTTTAGTCCCACAGCTATGAAAAGAGCTGCAGGAAGAGAGAGGTTGTCTTTAATTAAGTCATTCCATCCAATCCATGGTGTGTTTTATTTTATGTTTAAATGAAATAAACCTTAAGAAAAATTATTGTTCTACACACACATTTTTATACACACTTCCTGGCTTGCAAAGGGCTGTTTCCATAATTGAAGTAAATGTAAAATGTATAAAACACATGGAAACATAGGTTGGCACTACTCACGGTGAGTTCTTTTCAAGACAAAATGTATTTCCAGGAAATATCACAAAATTTCCAAGCCACATGAGGTGGTTTGGATAGAATAGAGGGACCATCTTCTTTCCCTTATGCAATATTGTTAATGTTCTAGACTACAAATAGAAAAAAATCCTTATTCATTCTCTTCTCTCTAGTTTTTTTTTTTTTTTTTTTTTTTTTTTTTTGGTCTCATTATTGTGAGACTATGAGGAATAAAAGAAGAAAAGCAGCTCTGGAATCATAATGGAAAGCAATGCCTGTTGATAGGGGTTTAAGAAAGATAATCATTTCCACCCTCCCTACAGGTTCTGAATCAACTGAGAAATAGTCACAAGAGACAGATGGAGGTAAGTGTTCTGGCTTCAGTGATGGTAGCATTGCATTAGATGGCAGGACTTGGACCTGAGCCCCAGTAGGCTTCCTATTAATTTTCCCAAATCCAGGACTTTGGATGACATATTGAAGAGAGAGTATGAATCTGTGGAATGGGGAAATGCTTATGCATTCTGCTGCAAGAAGAATTGTTGCCCCTCAATTATCTAGTTCCAGTGGTAAGGACCACAGGTCAAGGCTGTGAACTCCACCTCATGCAGAAATGTGGACCCATGAAAGTCGGATTTGATTACTTCTCCAATAGGAAGAATTGAAGTACAGTGTGGGGAAGATGGGTTAGAAGTTGACTCTAAGGCAGGCAGTCTCCTTAGGAAATACACAGAGAGAAAAAGGGAGACGTAACATTGGTTACTTTTTAATTTCCTTTGAGCATTCTTTCCCCATATTATAGATGAGGTGTTTGTGTTTTTCTGACACCAATTCTACAACATCAATAGGGTGTTCTACAATTCAATCATATTCTGACGCTAACTACCTGAAGTTAGCATCAGACTCCACAAGCTTAAAAGCTCAGTCTCACAAGCCTGCCCTTACTTCAGAAGCCAGTCACAAGTCCAGGGCCCCCCAGGCTACCTGCACCTCGGTTCAACTTGGCTGCAAATTTAGGGATTCCCACACCCCACACCCCGCACCCTCAGGTCTGATAATTCACTTGAACAACTCATAGAACTTAGGAACGTGCTATACTTAACAATTACCATTTTATTATAAAGGATACAATTCAAGAACAGCCAATTAGAAGAGAGGTATAGGGCAAAGTAAGGGGTGGCACAGAGCTTCCATAACCTCTCCGGGCATACCATGCTCCCAGCATGTGTGTATGCTCCCCAACCCAGAATTGCCCCAAACCCAGCTGTTGCAGAGCTTTTACTGAATCTTCATTGTGTTGGCATGATTGATTAAATAATGAGCCCTTGGTGATTGAACTCAATCTCCAGGCTTCTCCCTTCTCGAGAGGTCAGAGGCTGGGGCTGAAGTTCCAACTCTCTAATTACACGTGTTTCCAGCCCCTCCCTGGAAACTATCTAAAAGCCCACCTTGAGTCACTTTTTTGGCATTAAGTCAGATATGTGATGAATATCAAAAGACACTTCTATCACTTAAGTAATTTAAAGGGCTTTGAAAGCTCTGTGCCAGAAACTGGGGGTAGAGATTTTTATTATACCATGGTACCCAATCGAAGTACCTAGGTATCTCTGTAGAGTCTTTTGAAGATTAACTGTGTTAAAGTATATAATTACCATTTATGAACATTAAGTACCTTTTCCTAACTCACTGGTCATAAGACCTGTTCAGGGGTTCCCTAACTTTTCATAAAAAAAAACCTCGCTTATCATAATCCAAAAATGGAGTTTATGCTTTGAAAGATTTTGCTTCTCAACCTGATAAATTAAAAATGGAAAAACCTCAAATTTGATAGATTTCCAATTAAAATTGAAGAAAAGTCTTACCTGTGCCTTCACCTCTGGGAAATGAAAGTCTTTGTATTATGTATCAAAAATTGCTCAGAGCAGAACAAAGCACATGGATATGTTAGTATTAAAAGTTTCTATGTATGAAATTAGGGGCAATTTGGAAATACAGAAAATACATATTTTTATAACTAACGAATGCATGCCCATTTGGAAAACTTGGAAATCAGGGAAATAACTTATAATTATGCAAAAATAAATGAACTAAAATGGTTAATATCTTGATAGAGCTCTCAGGACCTGGTTAAGATCATCTTTAAGGTTCTTTCTAACATTTATTATTCACTTATTTAACAAATATTTAATGAGTACTTCTTCTGAGTCAGACATTGTTCCAGGCAATAGAGATAGGGAAGCAAAAGACACTTGAAGTTCCTGCCTTCATGGAAATTATGTTTTGTGGCTCAAAATGATGATTTTATATTAATAATAATTATGAAAAGCATGCATATATTATATATTATGATATGTGCAGTAACTGCCATATATACTGGGACTGTATAAATGTTTTACGTAGATAATTTTAGTTACTTTTCAGAGAAACCTCATGAGATTGGTGCTGTGATTATCAAATCTGAGAGTCAGAGGGGTTCAGTTACTTGACCAAAGTCACTAGTTACTAAGTGGCAGAAATGGAATTAGTCCTTAAGTCTGGTTGATCCATGCTTTTAACCCCTACTTCTTCTGAGGTAGGATTTTTCTACTTCTACTTCTTGCATTTATTCCTTTTAAAGAGAGGGGCTTTGAAGTATAGAATATTCTCTCTCTCTCATGTGTATGCAAAATCAATTTTAAAATTAGCAAATAAAATAACGATTGCTGAATTTGGTCAGCTTATTGGAAAATTGGATGTTTCTGGCATTCTCTATCGTCAAGGCATCAAAGCTTCTGTCTTAATGCAAGGTTATTCTTGATTCACCGGAGCAAGCCATTTAAGGAGGGAGTAGCAGCAAATTTCAGGTACAAAATTGTTGGCAGGGATGATAATGGAGAAACTTGGAATATCCAGGTTTGGGCAAAAGAAACCCTGAAAAATTTGTTTGAAGTGAGGAAAACCCCTTGTTTGAGGTTGGGTTGGGATTTTTGCATTCTGCCTTTAGGCAATAAAGAATTAAAAATAAAGGAAATAGCTCTTGGAAGGAGCTGGGGTGGGAGACAAAAATAAAACCCACCTGGGTGGTTTTTCATAACAGACCTCCAAACCAAATTGCACCGAGGGGCACCCTGAGTGTTCCAACCGATGGCCTCTGAGTCTGGGGCAACCATCGCCCTTGGCCGCACTTAACTTAAAAAACACCAGCAAAGGTTTCTTCTTTCATGTAGACTTACATTAGGTTTGAGCTGTAACACAAGATGAGAAATGGTTGGGTTGCGTGGGGGAGGGAGTTGGGGAGGTGGGTGGGCATATTTTCATTCTGCCACTCTCTTTGAACTGTGTGCCACATGCTTCATGAGTTCCTCCCCTCAGGGCAATGGAAATAAAATTACCTGCCCAAGGAATTTTAGAGTGAAAAATGAACTCACACTCTCAATGCCAAGATTGGTCCTGACACAAACAGTTAGTGGGGAAAAGAGAAGCAATTCCACAGACAGAGATCTGGGTCCAAGTTCTGAGCAGGTCACTTCTAGTTTTGGGGCCTCAGTTTCTTCATATTCAAAACAAAAGTATGAAAGATCAGGATCTGAAATTGTCCCTTCAGTGCTCCTTAGGCTATAATTTTTGGAATTCTCCAGTGGGAACCTGGATGATTCCAAACCCTGGAAGAGGCAGGGAGACTTTTCTAGTTCTTAGGGGAGGAGACATGAGCTTGAGGGACAGCATTTAGCAGAGGCACAAATGGAGTCCCAATTTCGTGTTAGTCTGGGCAGAAGGCTGGGCTGGAGGAGAAACCCACAAGCAGAGGCCATATGTCAAAGGCAGGTGCAGACCTGCCTGGGTTCAAGGAGAAGTTGGGTCCTGCTTCTTGAGTATTAGAGCTTTCCAAAGGAGAGCTGGGTCTTCATCTCTCTAATTTTTAGTGTGTCATTTTCTTTAAAGAAAATTGTATTTTCTAACTTTAAAGTTAGAAAAAATAATTGCCTTGATCTGTCTTTTCGTCTCCTTCACAATATAATGCAAATAAAGGATGCCAGTGTATAATCTTGATTTTATTTCCCCTCCCTTCCCTTCTCCCTCTCTCCTCCCTCCAACACCACCCCTCTTCTCCATACCACAACAAGCAGTGATTTGATTTTTAATATGAGGCCATCTTTGATGATCTACAGTTTAGAGCAAGTTATAACTCATCCAGGGAGGCTCGCTGTCTGACTAAGTTTCCTTAGAGGGCCATTGGCTTAGCTGACAGAGGCCAGAGCCAAGGTCTCTGGATTTTGAATCCAGGGCCTTTCCTTGATAGCAACATTTCTCAGACTATCTTAAATTTTGTCTTTTTAAGATACAGTGTCTTGTTTTGTTATCCAGCCTGGAGTGCTGTAACCTGCAGCCTTAAACTCCTGGCTAAAGCCATTCTCCTGCCCCAGCCTCCCGAATCAAAACTATTTTTAAAACTTCAATCTCTCATGGGCCAACACTTCCATAAAATTCAATAAAAATAAATTCCTGCTGACATAAAGTGAAAAAAAAAGACAAACTTCAAATCCCAATTTTTTATTATTAAATTCAATAGCCATAAAATGCTACTTTGTCAAATTGCTCTAAAAGTTTCTAAATGCTCTTCTCAGTTTAGGGGCTTGGGCCTGGTGCATGGAACATGCTTTAAGCAACACTGGTGGGTAGTTCTTTCTCTACCTCTTCTCCTCTGACCATGCACCCCAGGAGGGGCAGCCTGGATTGGAGTGTGCATGCAGCACAGGTTTTGCAGTTACTCAGGCTTAGGGGTGAACCCCGGCTGCACTCAAGGCTGCAGATGGGATCCTGCACAAGGCACCTTATGTCTTTGATGCTCAGCTTTATCCATTCTGAAGTGGAGAGAATAACATTGACCTTTGAGGATTGCTTTGAGGAGTAAATGTGGTAAAATGTATAAGGCACCTAGCGCACAGCAGTTGCTGCACAAGTGTTCATTTTTCTACTTTACAGAGGAGGAAGCATGGCTGATTTTTTTTACTCTTACTCTTGAATGTACCACTTTACAACTTTCCTTTCAGTCTAGATTTTTCTTTTTTGCTCCCCATCCTCTTAGCCAGCTACTACTTAACCCCTGCCTGCTCAAGTGCCCTAGACCCCTGCTGTACTCCCCATGCCATGGCTTGCTCCTTCCTCCTTCTCACTATAAGCTTCATGAGGGCAGGAACTGATCTGTTTATTCACTGCTATTTTTTTCCCATCTCCTAACCAGGTGCTTGGCACACAGCAGATGGCCAATAATTATCTGCTTAATGAAAATACGATGTCCTTGTTGAAAACCTGGGCTTGTAGTGAGAGTGAGAAAACAGCCCTACATAGTCCTGACCAGGTGCAGATATCAGAAAGTTATAAATATTATCTTCTATTACCAAGACCCAGTAGGCCAAGGGAAGCCCTGGGCCTGCTGTTCCAATGGGATGTGAGTTAGTCTGCCTCTTACCAGAGTCTTGGGCTTCTGTGGAGCTAAGGGGAATAGAATTGGTTGTCTTTTCTTCCCTAACCACAGACAAAGTCCTCACAACTGCATACACAGAATTCTGGATGGGGTGGAGGTACGTGGGAGGTGAGGAGGGGAGAAGGTAGGCTGGTATAGAGGAGAGGGGAAAGTAAGATGGCACAAGATGATTTAGAATCATAGACCTATAGAATGTTTAAGCCAGAAGGGTCCTTAGAGATCATCTAATTCAACCCTTTTGGAGACATTCTAATGTCATGCCTAAGTGTACGGACTCTGGGGTCAAATGGCCTGGCTTGAAGTCCAGTTCCAATTCTTTCCAGCTGTGTGGCTTTTGAACATGTTCTTAACCTCTCTGTACCTCTCAGTTTCCTCTCTATAAATATATATTAATATAATGATAGTATGTCTAACTTGTAGGGCTATAGGAACTAAAAGGCTTAGATTAGTGTCTGGTGCACAGTAAATTTAAGAGTTAGCAATGATTTCTTTTTTTTTTAACCTTTGGGAAAACTGAGGCCCAGGACTTGGTTAAGGTTGTAGAATAAGAGGGTGACAGAGCCTAGATGAGTCTCATTCTCTCACATTTTAGTTCTCCCTCTCCCACTTTTTTTTTGAACATAGACCAAAATTTTAGAGCCAAAAATAGTTTGAATATTATCTATTTTCATGTGCTTATTTAACACATAGAAAAACCAACACCCACAGAGGCTGAATGAGAGACTCAAAGTCACCCATCCAGACAGTGCTAGTGTCAGAATAGAACATGGTCTTAATGACTGTATTCTCCTTCTCGGCAATGCAGAGAGGCTATTGATGATGAAAAATGGAGACAGACTAAGAATAAATGCTCATGTGCCACATCCAGTCTTTCTCTGGGAAGTCTACTCAATTAGAGAGCAGTTCAGGCTTCACATGTTTTTCTAGTCAAACAGAAACAGTAAAAATGGCAACTTAGCTTTGGAAAGCTATGAATCCTTCAGCTTTTGGAAATTATTAGAATTTGGAGATAGCATTTTCATTAAGGAGTTTTTTCTAAGGGGACAGGAGTCCACGAGGGAACCATTCAAGAGGCAAAGATTTGGAGTTAGTTGGGCATCCTAGCCCGTGAGCATGCTGAGGACTGCAAGCCTCTCCCTGTCTTCCCCCTCCAGCTGTGTACACATTACAGGAGCTATGCAAGCATAGAAAAGCATTTTTAAAAATAAGACTAAATAACAGCACCTACCTCATAGATGTAGTTGGGAGGATTAAATAAGTTATTTCATATTAAATGCTTAGAACGGTGCTGGTAGGTAGTAAACGCTCAATGCAGCTCTATATACTCCATAACCTTTGTTTCAATGGCTCTACATTATTTTATAAGATGGCCATATTATAGCTTTTAAAATGTTACCTACTGTGCTGGCATGATTATTGAATGCTGTTTATTTCCCTAGCATTGGTGCCAATGTTTCCTTCTTATGGATAGTGCATTAATGAACAACCTTATCTTTTTTTTTAAATTTTATTATTATTATACTTTAAGTTTTAGGGTACATGTGCACAACGTGCAGGTTTGTTCCATATGTATACATGTGCCATGTTGGTGTGCTGCACCCATTAACTCGTCATTTAGCATTAGATATATCTCCTAATGCTATCCCTCCCCACACACAGTCCCCGGTGTGTGATGTTCCCCTTCCTGTGTCCATGTGTTCTAATTATGAACAACCTTATCTTAAAGCAGGAATCTGCAAACCATAGCATGTGAGCCAAATCCAGCCCATCTCTTGTTTTGTAAATAAAGTTTTGTTGAAACACAGGCACCCCAATTTGTTTAAGTATTGCCTGTGGCTGCTTTGCCTACTAATGGCAGAGTTAAATAGTTGTGACAGAGCCTGTTTTCTTTTGTTGTTGTTGTTTTCTTTTTTTTCTGAGCTTTTTCAGAAAATATTTCTGATGCTATCCTAAATGAATAACCTTAAATGCATAAAAAGGTTTGTTTTCATATTCTTTTTTTAAAAAAGTACACACACACACACACGCATGCACACACGCACACACACGCACACGCACACACGCACACACACACACACACACACACACACCTTTCTCACTAATTTAATTCCTAAACACTCTCCATACATACTCAGTGTGTCTTTTGCAGAGAGCCATGAGGAAAAGGGAAAGAGGAAAGATGGCAGGTGCAAGTCTGGCCCTGATAGATCTGTTAGATGGCGTGCAAGCTGTTTTACATGGTTTGTTTTCTGATTCCATTTATCTATGTGCCCTACTTTTTAAAAATTGTCTTCAAGATTCAAGACTTTGTTACCTGCAAATTTTCAGTTATCTTATGAGGAACATTTTATACTAAGGCAGTAATATGAAATAAAGGAAAGAAAACCATGTTCAGAGCCGAAGATCTGGGTTCTAGGCCTGTTTCTCTACTCATTTGTCACAGGACCTTGGGCAAATGACCTATATTTACAAATTCCCAGTTTACTCCCAGAGCTGGAATGTTCTGTGTGGCCCAGGCTCCAGCTGCTTTCCTCTGGATGGGGCAGTCTCCCATCACCCAGCCTCCCTGCCTTCACGTCACCCCATCCATCCCACCCTACAACTTTTAAAGGGTACCTCCATGATGTCCCTCCCTTCCTCCAAAGTGATCCTGGGGGCTTCATTTTACATGTCTTCCCCTCTCTGAGACTCAGGTCCTCATAGGAAGAACATGAAAAACAACAGGCTACAACTGGATGGTTGTAAAGGTCTGATGAGATCTGTAATATGTTGTTCTGCAGCTCAAGTGGGAGTAAAACTCAAGTCTTTTAACTCCTGGTCCTGTGCTCTTTCCTCCACTCTACAAATAGACTCCAAGAACTTTGCCCCCTTGAAACTTGGGCCAGAAATCCTACTCTTTGGGAAACTCAAATGCTGCAAGTACTTTAAAAATCTTTTTCCTCCATCCAAACTTCTGCTTCGTGGTCTGGCAGGATGCACAAGCTTTCAGCAGGCAGCTGCGATTTTACTCTGTGCCAAGATGCTGCTTGTCTCAGGTTGCTTGGCAATGCAATACTTAATCCTTGGAGTCCTACACCTCCACAGACACACATCTATGCTTTCAGCTCTCAGTTGTTCGAAGAACACTTCCAAATAGATTCATTTCATCTTCAAATAATCCTTAGAAATAGGCATGGCACATATGATTCTCTATGGCATGTAAGAGGACTGAGGCCCAGAGCCGTGAAGTGAACTATTCAAGGTCTCACAGTGATGTTGTGACTCAGGTAGGAGTAAAACTCAAATCTTTTGACTCCTGGTCTTGTGCTCTTTCTTCCACTCTGCAGATATTTTTAAATGGCTTTTTGTCTTTAAATTTCCCACACCTGGCCTTCACTCCAAGTAAAACTTTTGTGTATAAAGTCAGTATTGTGAAGTTGGGAGGGAAATTGGTGGGAAAGAAATCTCATGTTAATGGGCTTTGATGCCAGACAGGAACCTTTGAACTGAGAAAAAAATTCTACAGATGAAATCTCTGCAGAGGAAAAGAAAATAATGTTTTACTTATTTTGAAAAAAGGAAACTGGGCCAGGCTACTGAGGTATTCAATTCTAACATATTAATTTCAAGGAATGCAAAAACTGTTGACATGAGAACTTCTTTGTGGATATGAGAAAAATTATACTTTATTAAGATTCTAAAGATGAGACAATTTCTTTTTCTACTCTGGGCCTTAGTTTCTTCTTCCATAACAGGAGAGGGTGAGTATATCACTTTAGGCTCAGTTTGGCTGCAGTAACAACTAACCCTCGAATGTTGATAACTTACAACAACAAGGATGCCTTTCTTGCTCTCTTAGGTTGGCTGTGGCTCTACTCCAGATCTTCATTTTTCCTGGATCACAGCTGAGAGGGCAGCTCCTCTCTGAGACATGCCAGTCTCATGGCAGAGGGGAAAAATGGCAGAATCATGATTTGGTGATGACAGTTTTTTACTGGCAAATGACATCTGTCATTTTCTTTCACTTTTGTTGGTCAAATCAAGCATATGGACAAGTCCAATGTCAATGAGTGGGAATTATAATTCTTCTCAGGGATAAGCCCAATAGGGGAGGGCCCTATAGGAGGGAAAAACGTATATCTTGGCAATAATACTATCTACCAAAATGGGGTCCAACTATTTACTGAACATCTACATTTGGATGTCTCACCTCAAATTCAGTATGTCCCAAACTGAACTCATCACCTTTGCTCCTCAAAAGTACCCCTTTTTCTATATCTCTTCTCCAGTTAGAAAGCACCATCATCTATCTATCTATCACGCCACCCAAACCAGAATGGAGTTATCCTAGGCTATTCCTTCTTGGTCTCACCTCCCACGTCCTACTGTTAACTAAGTCCTGTGGATTCTGATTCTGAATTACCTCTCACATTAATCTCCTCCTCTGTATTTCCTCTGCCAGTGTCATAGCTCAGGCTGGGGTTGGTGAGGCCTGATCTACTATAATAGTGTCCTTCTGCATCTCCATTGCCAGGTTCGGGCATCCAGTATGGGGTATTGACTTGAGGAACAGGACAATGGGGAACCCACAGGTTATTGAAAGACCAGTAAATTATTTATAAATAGTAATTTTTTTATTTAATTATCTTTTACTTTTCTTCATTTTTTTAAAGGAGGAAGGGGTAGGAGTCAAATACATTTAAGAGGAGTTGACATTTTCCCTGATCTAATATTAGTGAATTCTTCAGTCTTACATTTTAAAGATACAAACGAAGATGATAGGAAATGCAAGCTCTTTAAAAAAGGAGAACCTCCCATGTGTGAGGCCATACATTTGAATGGTCTATTCACCCTGGAAACCTGCCTACTTGATGTGAGGAATTGGAGTCATTCTCGTTCACTGCTGCTCCTCTCCCCATCTGTTCACTGGCATCCCAGGTGCTAGGATCTCCAAAGAGAAAGGTAGAGCAGGAAGGAGGGATGGGGAGCAGGGCCTGAACCAGGAATGGTGGACCTAGGAGTGCTGTAACTTCTGACGCCTCTCCAGATGTTGGTGATAAGAAATTAGAGAGACACACAGCAGGAATAGACCTCAATTACCATGAAGTCTAGCCTCTACATTTAAAGGTGAAGAATTGAAGGCTCCAAATGGGGAAGTGGCTTGCTCAAGATTACCTAGCAAGCTAGAAGCAACACTGGGGCCAGAACCCGGGACACCTGCCTAAGAGTGCAGAGTTCTTTATGAAGTAATAGTCTGTAAAACATGCAAGCGCATGATTAAGCAGAGCCATATGCCTTGTGTATCTGACTCTTTTTGTGCATTTTCTTTTTCACCTTTTAAATCTTCTTCTGCCATCATTGATCTTAACACTATTTAGTCTATTTGAAAGACACCACCAGTACTTCTAGAACTCTCCACTGGTATATTTGCATTTGACTTGAGAGCCAGATGGGCTGCATTGTTGGGAGTGGGCTGGTCTCTGTGTTAGAAGACCTGGGGCCAAACTCCTGCTCTATGACTCATTTGCTATGTAAACTTAGGCTACTGCTTCTTCTCTCTGAGCCTCAGTTTCCTCACTTAGAAAATGGGTGTGATAATGATATGTATCTCTCAGACTGCTTCTTGTAAAGTGTAAATAAGAAGTATGTGAAATTACCTAGTACTGAATTTGATAACTCAGTTTTCATACTTTACTGTGGTATCTTCTCAGTACAAGGTACCAGGGCAACGAAGATTGGCCAGTGTCACCCAGCAAGCACTAGCCACAGGGAATGCACTGTTTATCCTGTCCATGCCACTCACTAATCAATAGATGCAAAGTGACAGGAAGTCAGTTATAGGAGACTGCACAAGGCAAAAAACAAAGACAGGAGTGGGAGAATGATCAGTTCTTTCTGGATGGTCATAGGGACCTTTCAGAAGAGATGGGGTCTTACTCTGTCACCCAAGGCTGGAGTGCAGTGGTGGGATCACATCTCACTGCAGTCTCAAATTCCTGGGCTCAAGTGATCCTCCCACCTCAGCCTCACATGTAACTGGGACTATAGGCATGTGCCACCATGCCTGGCTAATTTTCAATTTATATTTTTGTAGAGACAGGGTCTTGCTATGTTGTCCAGGCTGGTCTCAAACTCCTGGCCTCAAGTAATCCACCTGCTTTGACCTCTCAAAATGCTGGGATTATAGGCATGTGCCATTATAACCGGCCAAGAATTAGTTTTGAAAGATGAAGCAAAACTCTTTAGGTGAGGAATCAGGGTAACTTTAGGGAATATAATACCATAAGCAAATACATGAAGGTGTGAACATGTATGAGTTTTGGAAAACTAAAGTAAGTAATTTAATCTAGGTACAGCACAGAATAGAAGCAAGGGTAGGGAATGAGCAGGCTGAGAAATGAGACTAGAGAGTTTGGGCCAGGATGAAACATGATGGGGCTGGAGTGAAAGGCTAAGGAGTAGGACTTCATCCTGAGCCAGAGCTCAGAGGCTGACCTCCTGGAGTTAGCCCAATGATGTGTTTTGCCTGACTGACATGGGGCCTTGATGTAGGTGGGGCATGCATTTTCCAGTTCTTTCTATTGTCTTCCCAGCCTTGACTCCATGCTGCTACTTCACTCATTTTTATTCCTTGCCTGGACTTTGAAGGCATTTGAGTTTCAGAGGTTGGATGCAGAACACAGATGAAGTCAGATTTGAATTTTTGATTGATGTCTATGGCTGGATTCCTAGTGGATTATAAGGGGTAACACTGGCAGCCAAGAATTCTGTTAACACACAGTTGCAGTACTTCATCTGGGAGATGACAAGATCCTAATCTAAGGCAGTGGTTATGTGGATTGATAGAGAGGAATTAATCTGAGAATCTTTTAGGAGGCAGAACCCATAGGACTCAGTAATAAACTAAGATGAGGAGAAGGAGAGAGAGGGGAGTTAGACTAAAGGGTTTGGGTGAGCAGACTGTCTTAGGACTAGGTATACCTGGTGTCTAGCCTAGTGTCCGAGGCAACACAGAGCCTCAATAAATAATTCTTAAATAAATAAATAAATGGAAAAGGGATTTCAGATGGTTCACAGATTACTAACTTAACAAGAGACACGTAATAGGTATTTGGTAGCTCTTAGCGGAATGTGAGCAGCATGTATCTGACAGTAATGAAGGTTTGGCTCTTCTTTGAAACTCAGAACCAATTCCTCAAGATCCAGATAGCCCATGGAAGCCCACGGAAGGAACTTGGCTGCCTTCTGAGGAGCATAAATTAGAGGCACTTGTTAAGAGAGATGCTGTCTGACATTTCCCTTAGGAGACTCCAGCCAAAAGAGTTCAAAAACTGAGTTCCTTAGCTTTTGGAGATAAAAGTTAGAGAACGTCCAAATCTGGGGCTGCCAGGAGGCTGGGCGCCTTCTTTTTCCTTAGCTCTGTCCTGCCATTGAAGCAATAACAAAGATAGAACCAGCAAAATAAATAAGTGCTCTGCGGATTTCAGGGATAATAATTTTATTGGCCAAATATTAAAATATCAAAGGCCCAGGAAAGGATACAGTTATGAGCCTTTGATGTACCATAAAGGCCCATTTCATGCACCAGTTGGGAGTATTTCAGGACAAAGATGGAATGATATTTTACGTCACCTCTGAGGCATAAAGGACACTTTATGAGTCAAAGGAAGCCAAGTTTTCAAATGGCTGGAGACTGGCAGTTTACTAGTTTGAAATCTAAACAGCAACTCGGATTCCAAATTAAAATTACTCCCACCACCCTGTGCCCGGGAGAGGTTTGCTGAGGTTGTCAGAGGGAATGAAGTGGGGGGAGTGTCCCAGGATCAGGCAAAAGGGATCCCAATTGGTCCAGTCACCATGGGGACCAGGGCCCCAAATTCCTATACTACTTGATGGGCTCAGGCTTACTAAGCCCTCAGGGCCAGAGAAGGACCACCAGCCTGGAAAATTGGGAAAAAAAATCAAAACAAAACAAAACAAATGAAAGAACGGTACTAGATTCTCAGTAAATGCTGCTGGGTGAATATGGAATGAAAAGTTTTGCCTCATTCAGATCTCTGCTTCAATGTTTCTTCCTTGAGGAATCCATTCCACTCTAGCCCCTTGCCTCTTTGACTTTTTTCATTGATATATGATATAATATTAAGAAGTGATGCATGCTATTTGTTTTTTTTTCATTGTATCTTCTTTTATATTATAAGCTCCATGTGGACATGGTCTATATATTTTTCTTTGCGGAAGAACATTGCCTGACTCAGAGAAGGGACTTGTAAACAACTGTTGAATGAATGAATGAAGGCCCCTTAATTGTGCTAAGGCCTGTGCTAGATGATTCAGACCTGGTCTCTGCCTTCTAGTATTCATAGTGTAGTGGGGGAGACAGATACTATGGTGTATTGAAATTAGTAACATCAATGTAGAGTAATATACAGAATGCTATGGGGGTACAAAGAAAGCACCTAAGCAAGCTTGCTGGAGGAGGACAGAAGAAACATTCTGGAGAAAAGTGTTGTTGCAGCTAACATCTGAAGGACAGATAGGAGTTAGCCAGATAGGGATGTAGAGAGTTTTTTTTTTTTTTTTTTTTTTTTAAACAGAGTCTCACTCTGCTGCCAGGCTGGAGTGCAGTGGCATGACCTTGGCTCACTGCAACCTCCGCTTCCTGAGTTCAAGTGATTCTTCTGCCTCAGCCTCCTGAGTAGCTGGGATTACAGGCATCTGCCACCGTGCCCGGCTAATTTTTGTATTTTTAGTAGAGATGAGGTTTCACTATGTTGGCCAGGATGGTCTCGATCTCTTGATCTCGTGATCCTCCTGCCTTGTCCTCCCAAAATGCTGGGATTACAGGTGTGAGCCACCGTGCATGGCTGTAGAGAAAGTTTTAACAGCAGACGAAATGCCTTGTGCCAAGTCACAGAACGACACATGATGTGGCTGAGTAAAGTGTGTTGAATGAATTGATACGTAAATGAATGCTTTAAAAATTACAATTTGTTTTTCTAATTATTCATTCAAGGAGACATTCCAAAAAGCACTTTCTCATTAAGGGGTCATTTTACAGAATTGTGCATTGGCCTATTTTGTCTTTCTCTAAGAAAATATAAACATTCCCAGGACCATGGGCAGGTTGACATAGGAACTTGGAAATAACAAAACAAAACAAGAAGAAAAATAGACAATATATAATTGTTTTCCCTTACAAACACCCATAACTCACACAGCTTTTTAGAAAAGGACTGCAAGGATCACCTAGTGAGGTGTGATGAAAATGGCCCAGAATTTGAAATTGGAAGGATAGGTTCAAGTATTACATCAATCTTTACCAGGCAAGTCATTTCATGTCTCTCAGTTATAATTTCTGAGCTAAGAGAACCAAATGAAAGTACTTTGGGAATCAAAAAGTGATGGACAAGTAAAAGTAATCTATTATTATTATTATTATTCTCACTCAATTTATTATTTTCTTTGTTTTAAATTGACAGAGAGAAATGCCCTCTCTTTTGGTTGCAGTTCTAGGAATGTTAACACATGTGGATTTCTGTAACCTCAATCAGAATACAAAATAGTTCCATCACCCAAAAAACTTGCTCAGGGCTGCCAGTTTGTAGTCACGCTTTTCCTGTACCCCTCGCCCCTGGAAACCAGTGATCTGTCCTCTGTCACCATCATTTGTTTTTTTTTTTTGTATGTGTGAATGGAGAATGACAGATAAATGGACTCAAAAAACATTTTAACTTTTATTTTAGGCTCAGGGGTACATGTACAGGTTTGTTATACAGGTAAACTCATGACTGGGGGTTTGGTGTGCAGATTATTTCATTAACCGAGTACTAAGCATAGTACCTGACAGTTTTTTTTTTTTTCTGAGCCCATCTCCCTCATTCACTCTCCTTCAAGTAGTCCCAGCGTCTGTGGTTTCCCTCTTTCTGTCCATGTATGCAACCTTTTGAGGCTAGCTTCTTTCGCGCAACGTAATGCCTGTGAAATTCATCCAAGTTGTTCATGTGTCAACAGTTCGCTCCTTTTTATTGCCAAGTGGTTGGTATTCCACAGTATGGATATACCACAGTTTGTTTATCCATTCATCCATTGAATAACAGGTGGATTTCTACTTTATGGTACATATGAGGGTACCTACTATAAACATTAGTGTATAGGTGTTTGTGTGAACATAAATTTTCATTTCTTTAGGGCAAGTACCCAGTAGTGAGATTGGTATGTCACATATTAAGGATATAATTACTTTATGAAAATACGTCAGACTGTTTCCAGAGTGGCTGGACCATTTTGCATATTCAGCAGTTCAATTTGGTTTTGAATAGTGGGAATGTGAGGCCCAGGGAAGTGAAGTGACTTCCTTTTGATCACACAGCAAGTGAGGAAATGTGGGTAAGAGATGGAGAGTAGTGGCAATTCTCAATCCTGAACCTGCTTTTTAAACTGAGACTGGACTCTGTTCACTTCATGTAAGCCTCAGGACCGCTCTTTGAGGGGAGATCTATTTATTTGTTTGCTTGCTTCCATTTTATAGGTGAAGAGACAGTTGGGGAGATAGGTTTAAGGAGGGAAGGGACCTGCCCAGGGTCTTACAACTTGTAGGTGGTGTACGGAGTTTGACGCCGAGCTTAGTGCTCCTCCCACTGTGCACATTTCCTGTGGCTGGCTGGAAGTTAGAGCTAAAGGTTCATTTTCAGTGAATCAACATTTCCACCCTCATGGTTATGGTACATTACAGAGAGAAAATTTCCATGCTTTCATAGGGTGAACTGTATGTTTATTAATAACTGTTCCTCAATTGCTTCAATTTTCACATTATTAAAAAGCTAAAGCTTGTCTCACTTGTCATTTTCTTCTCCCTGCTTGGAATGGATTTTTTAAACTGGGGCTGGAACTGAGAAATGAAAAGGATTTAGGTTTGGTGCCCTCTGTGCTTGCCAGACAGTTCCGTGCCCCAGGCTTTTTTCTGTTGGCATTTCAAAAAAGAGTAGTTCCTACCTCGCCTTGGGTAAGGAGACAATTTGAGAGCAGGAGACTCACTCTGATTCCAGCATCCCAGAAGAGTCCCGTATCCAGTTTCATTGCTAAAAGGTGTTAGAGATGATTTTTAGTTCAAGGCTGCTTGTGTCAGAAAGGAAAAACTGACGGATAGCTTTCAGAATTTAGCTTTTATGAGAGGCCTTAAGTCTATCCCAGGCTAAAGCTTCCTTCTTTAGCCCTAGAGGCAAATAGAAAAAAAGACGAAAGCAAGGTAAAGAAGGAAGAAGAGAAAATAAAATGGAAGAAAGAGAAAGACAAGAAAACAAAAAGAGAAATGAAGAAAAGAGGAAAACAACTGGAGAGAGAGAGGGAAATATGAGAAAGGCTACAGAGGGAAAAAAGGACTTGAAACTATGTAGTTTATTTTGCTTCCATGGTGTTTGTTATAGATTATCCTAGACTAGCTGGAAGAGAGCAGAGTAATTGGACCAAGCTAATTAGATCTTTATTTGATTTTGTGTTTGTTTGTTTGACTACTTAATTTATAACTTGGCAGGGAGCTTTATCGTATATACTCTGCTAAACGGTTTATCTAAACTGAGATTGAGCATGAGCAAAATTGACATTGGATTTGCTGCAATCAGACCACACAGAAGAGAGGAGAAAGTTCTTTTAAGTAAACATTGATGTCAAGGTGCAGTAGCAGACCTGACAGGGAGCTTGAGGGGACCGTAGAGTTGATAAACACTGGCTGGGCTGAGAGAACATAGGTGAGCCTCCAGGAGCAGGGTGGTACCCTTCTACGAATTTGGAGTTGGCACCCAGACAGATCTGAGTTTAATTCTTGGCTTGGCTACTGCCTACTTTTTTTTGTTTTCTCTGAGCCTCAGTATTGCCACTTATAAAATGGGAAAATAGTGCTTCCCTTATAGGACAGAGACAAGGATGAAATGAAACAGCAGGGAAGATGCTTAACATAGATATGGCTTTGGGAAAGGCTTGATTCCCCTTTACCTCCTTGCATGTGAAATGCTAACTGGGAAGGCCTGGCAGAGCACATTTATGTTGCAGAAGAAAACTGATACCAAGGTTATAAACTATGTCTCAACCACTTATTCACCCTAGTTTCCATTAGAATCCAATTCTGGGGCTTGATCAAGGTCCCTTTTCTTCCTGGGTTCAGAGCAATGACTTGTAATGCTGAGTGTTTGCAGTGCCTGTAATGTGTACTCTCTCATTTTGGGGTTCTCTGTTGAGGTGCCCTGCTCTGGTTATCTCTCTGACCTGCTCTCATCAGGCCTCTGGCTTCTGTTCAGGCATTACCTTCTCTGGGTCTCTCCTTCTGCAGAAACTATGCTTTGTGCCCCTCATTGGTGCTCATTTGGCATTCTCTACAATTATTCCTGGAAACATGCTTTTCTGTATATCATGCTCTTCTGTGTATATCCATTTATTTGTCTGTTGGAATGCAAGCTGCTTGAGTTCGGGAACTTGATTTCCATTGCTGGGTCTCCAGTTCCTAATACAATCCCTAGTTGTGTGACTATGGGCAAGTCACTTAATCTCTTGTAGCCTCAATTTCCTCATCTGTAATAGGAGATAATTATATCACTGAACAGTACTTAAGGGCTAATTGGCTTAATACATGTAAAGCTCTTAGTACTGTTCCTGGTTCATAGTAAATGCTAAATAAATATTAGCTACTATAAATGTTATTTTGAATGATTGTATGAATGAATAAATGTAGGAATAAGACATGTTCCCTCCTATTGAGGAGTTTGGTCTAGTGGAGGGAACATACATAAACAACTCACAATGAAACAATGTGATATTAAATTAGAAATCCATTTTTAAAAAGTATTTAACAGTGTAAAGTGTTTCCTTTTCACCACATCCATGCCAACCTCTATTATTTTTTGATTTTTAAATTATGGCCATTCTTGCAGGAGTAAGAAGGTATCTCATTGTGGTTTTAGTTTGCATTTCCCTGATAATTAGTAATGTTGAGCATTTTTTCATATGTTTGTTGGCTGTTTGTATATCTTCTTTTGAGAATTATCTATTCATGTCCTTTGTCCACTTTTTTTTTTTTTTTTTTTTTGAGACGGAGTTTCACTCTTGTTGCCCAGGCTAGAGTGCAATGGTGTGATCTCAGCTCACGGCGACCTCCACCTTCCAGGTTTAAGCAATTCTCCTGCCTCAGCCTCCCAAGTAGCTGGGATTACAGGTATGCACCACAATGCATAGCTAATTTTTTGTATTTTTAGTAGAGACGAGGTTTCACCTTGTTGGCCAGGCTGGTTTCGAACTCCTGACCTTCGGTGATCCACCCACTTCAGCCTCCCAAAGTGTTGGGATTACAGGCGTGAGCCATCGCACCCGGCCCTTTGCCCACTGTTTAATGAGGTTATTTGTTTTTTTTCTTGCTGATTTGTTTGAGTTTCTTACACATTCTGGATATTAGTCCTTTGTCAGGTGGATAGTTTGTTAATGTTTTCTCCCACTATGTGGGTTGTCTGTTTACTCTGCTGATAATTCCTTTTGCTGTGCAGAAGATTTTTAGATTAATTGGGTATAATTTATTTATTTTTGTTTTCGTTGCATTTGCTTTTTGGGTTTTAGTCATAAATTCTTTGCCTAACCCAATGTCTAGAACAGTTTATTCAATGTTATCTTCTAGAATTTGTATGGTTTCAGGTCTCAGATTTAAGTCTTTGATCTGTCTTGAGTTGATTTTTGTATAAGGTGAGAGATGAGGTTCCAGTTTCATTCTTCTACAGTTTCATTCTTCTACAAGTGGCTTGCCACTTTTCCTAGAACCATTTATTGAATAGGGCGTCCTTTCCCCAGTTTATGTTTTTGTATGCTTTGTTGAAGATCAGTTGTCTGTAAGTATTTCACTTTATTTCTGGGTTCTCTATTCTGTTCCATTGGTCTATGTGCCCATTTTAATACCAGTACCATGCTGTTTTGGTAAGTATAGCCTTGTAGTATAATTTGAAGTCAAATAATGTGATGCCTCCAAATTTGTTCTTTCTGCTTAGTCTTGCTTTGGCTATGTGGGTGCTTTTGTGGTTCCATATGCATTTTAAGATTATTTTTTCTAGTTCTGTGATGAACGATGGTAGTTTGATGGGAATTGCATTGAATCTGTAGATTGCTTTGGGCAGTATGGTTATTTTCACAATATTGATTCTACCCATCCATGAGCATGGGATGTGTTTCCATTTGTTTGTGTCATCTTTAATTTCTGGTGGGAGTATAAACTAGTACAACTACTATGGAAAACAGTATGGAGATTCCTTAAATAACTAAAAGTAGAACTACCATTCAATCCAGTAATCCTGCTACTGGTTATCTACCCAAACGAAAAGAAGTCATTATATGAAAAAGACATGCACACTCATGTTTATAGCAGCACAATTTGCAATTGCAAAGATATGAAACCAGCCTAAGTATCCATCAACCAACGAGTAGATTAAGAAAATATACTATATATATATATACGGTATATATATATATATAGTATATATATATGGTGTATATATACATAGTATTTATATGGTGTATATATATAATAGATATATATGGCGTATATATATAGTATATATGGTACATATACATGGTATATATATGGCACATATACATGGTATATATATGGTACATATACATGGTATATATACGGTACATACACATGGTATACATATATGCTACATATACATGGTATACATATACGGTACATATATACATGGTATACATATACGGTACATATATACATGGTATACATATACGGTACATATATACATGGTATACACATACGGTACATATATACATGGTATACACATAGGGTACATATATACATGGTATACATATACAGTACATATATACACCATATACATATACAGTACATATATACATGGTATCTATGTACTGTATATGTATACGGTGTGTGTATATACGGTGTATATATACACGGTGTGTGTATATACGGTGTATATATACACGGTGTGTGTATATACGGTGTATATATACACGGTGTGTGTATATACGGTGTATATATACACGGTGTGTGTATATACGGTGTATATATACACGGTGTGTGTATATATGGTGTACATATGGTGTGTATATACATGGTTATATATATGGTGTACATGTATATGGTGTATATATATGGTGTACATATATGGTGTATATATATGGTGTGTATATATGCTATGTATATATGGTGTGTATATAGGGTATATATATGGTGTATATGTATGTTATATACATATGGTATATATGTATGTTATATATATGGGGTATATATGTAATATATAGTGATATATATGTTTTATATATGGTATATATACGTTATATATGGTATATATGGTGTATATATGGTGTATATATGGTATATATATGGTATATATAAGGTATATATACGGTATATATATGGTATATGGTATACCATATACGGTATATATATGGTATATGGTATACCATATATGGTATGTATATGGTATACCATATATGGTATGTATATGGTATATATATGGTATATGGTATACCATATATGATGTATATATTGTATATATATGGTATGTATATATATGTTATATGTCTATGGTATGTATATATATGGTATATATATGATATGTATATATGGTGTATATATGGTATGTATATATGGTATATATATGTATATATGGTATACATATATGGTACACATATAAGGTATACATATATGGTACACATATAAGGTATACATATATGGCACACATATAAGGTATACATATATGGTACACATATATGGTACATATACATGGCACACATATATGGTACATATACGTGGCAAACATATATGGTACATATACATGATACACAAATACATGTTACACATACATGATACATATATACATGGTACACAAACATGGTACATATACACATGGTACAGGTATAGGGTACATATAAACATGGTACACGAATAGGGTACATATACACATGGTACAGGTATAGGGTACATATACTTGTTATATATATGGTACATATATACGGTATATATATGGTACATACATACGGTATATATGTACATACATACGGTAAATATATGGTACGTACATACGGTATAGATATGGTACGTATATACGGTATATATATGGTACGTATATACGGTATATATATGGTACGTATATACGGTATATATATGGTACGTATATACGGTATATATATGGTACGTATATACGGTATATATATGGTACGTATATACGGTATATATATGGTACGTATATACGGTATATATATGGTACGTATATATGGAATATATATGGTACGTATATATGGTATATATATGGTATATACATATAGTATATATATGGTTTGTATATATGGTGCATATATATGGTGTATATATATGGGTGTATATATATGGCATATACATGGTGTATATATATGATATATAAATATGGTGTGTATATATATGGTACATATATGGTATATGTATGGTGTATATATGTATCGTATATATGGTATATATACCGTATATATATGGTGTATATATACGGTGTATATATATATGGTGTATATATTTATGGCATATACATAGTATATATATGGAATATATGTTGTGTATATATATGGTATATGTATGGTATACATATAGTATATATGGGGTACATATATGGTATATATATGGGTTATATATATGATATATATTATATATGTATATGGTATATATATGGTATATATATTATACATGCATATGGTATGTATATGGTATATATATGATATATACATATGGTGTATATATATGTTATATATGATATATATAAGGTATATATATGGTATATATAAGGTATATATAGTATATATATGGTATATATAAGGTATATATTGTATATATATGGTATATATAAGGTATATATATTGTATATATGGTATATATATGGTTTATATATATGGTGTGTATATATGGTGTTTATATACACACTTTATATACTATATATTATATACACACTATATATAATATATATTATATATAGTTAAATATATGGTATATGCAATTAGATATATGGTATATGTAATTATATATATGGTATATAGATGGTGTATATATGGTATATATAGCATATAGTATATATACACACTATAGGTAATATACTACATATTATATACACACTATAAATAAAATATATAATATATAATATTTTCTATATAGTATATATTATATATTGTATATACTATATATAATATATACTATAGACAGTAGATACTTTATATACTATAGACAGTATATACTATATACTGTATACACTATAGACAGTATATACTATATACTGTATACAGTATATGTAGTGTATATGTAGTGTATATAATATATAGTATATATTATCTATACTATATACAGTATATATAGTGTATACATAATATATATTATATATTATATATACTATATACAGTATACATAGTGTATATGTAGTGTATAATATATATAATGTGTATATAAAATATATATACTATATATAATATATATTATATATAATATATACACTATATATACTATAGATACACTATATATTCACTATATATACTATATATACTATATAGTATATATGTTATACTATATAGTATATATGTAGTATACATATTGCATCCTCATAGCTTAGCTCCCATTTATAAGTGAGAACATACAATATTTGGTTTTCCATTTCTGAGTTACTTCACTTAGAATAATGGCCCCCAGCTCCATCCAAGTTGTTGCAAAGACATGACTTCATTCTTCTTCATGGCCGAATAGTATTCCATTTTATATATATACACAATAAATACTATATATTATATACATTATATATAGTATATACTATATGTTATATACATAAGATATAGTATATACCATATATTATATACATTATATATAGTGTATACTATATATAATGTATATAATATATAGTATATATACACTATATATACTATGTATATATACACTATATATACTATGTATATATACACTATATATACTATGTATATATACACTATATATACTATGTATATATACACTATATATACTATGTATATATACACTATATATACTATGTATATATACACTATATATACTATGTATATATACACTATATATACTATGTATATATAGTGTATATATACTGTATATGTTATAGTGTATATATAGTATACATATAGTATAGACGTATACCGTACCATGGTATAGTATAGACGTATACTGTACCATGCTATAGTATAGATGTATACTGCACCATGCTATACTATAGACGTATGCTGTACCATGGTATAGTATAGACGTATGCTGTACCATGGTATAGTATAGATGTATATATATATATATATATATATATATATATATATATATATATATATATACGGCTCCATCCAAGTTGTTGCAAAAGACATTACTTCATTCTTTTTTATGGCTGAGTAGTATTCCATTTTATATATATAGTACATAGTGTTTATATTATATATCACATATGTATATACTGTATATATAGTATATTCTATGTATTATATAGTCTATATTATATACAGTCTATATAATATATAGTATATACTATATATACTTTTCCTCATTCTGACTATATACTATATATATACTATATATAGTATATGTAGTGTATATATACACCATATATACTATATATAGTATACATACCATATATAGTATACTATACATACCATATATAGTATACATACCGTATATAGTATACTATACTTACCATATATAGTATACATACTATATATAATATATCTGGTGTATATATACACTATATATACTATATATACTATATATAGTATATGTACACTATTTATAGTATTTATAGTATATATACTGTATATATAGTATGTAGTATATATACTATATATTATGTAGACTATATATAATATAGACTATGTGTAGAGTATATATACTATATATAATATACATATATAATATATATAATATATAAGTAGTATATACTCTATATTTATATGAAATGGAATACTACTCAGCCATAAAAAAGAATGAAGTAATGTCTTTTGCAACAACTTGGATGGAGCTGTATATATATATATATATATATATATATATATACACTCTACATATATACGTCTATACTATACCATGGTATAGTATGCGTCTATACTATAGTATAGATACATGTATACATCTATACATGTATAGTATACATGTATACATGTATACATGTATACATGTATAGTATACATGTATAGATGTATACATGTATAGTATACATGTATACATCTATACATGTATAGTATACATGTATACATCTATACATGTATAGTATACATCTATACATCTATACATGTATAGTATACATCTATACATCTATACATGTATAGTATACATCTATACATCTATACATGTATAGTATACATCTATACATCTATACATGTATAGTATACATCTATACATCTATACATGTATAGTATACATCTATACATCTATACATGTATAGTATACATCTATACATCTATACATGTATAGTATACATCTATACATCTATAGTATACCTGTATACTATAGTATAGATACATGCATACATGTATACATGTATACATGGTATACTATACATCTATACTATAGTACAGATACATGTATACATGTATAGTATAGATACATGTATACATGGTATAGTATACATCTATAGTATAGATACATGTATACATGTATACATGTATACTAATAGATACGTGTATACATGTAGAATATAGTATAGATACATGTATACCATGGTATAGTATACATCTATACTATTCCATGGTATAGTATACATCTATACTATATCATGGTATAGTATACATCTATACTATATGTATAGTATGTATATATACATACATATGTACTATATGTATATATATACTGTACCATATACAGTATATATACACCATATGTGTACATAGTATATATAGTATATATTATATAATATATACTGTATATAATATATATTATATACTATATATAATGTATATAATATATATTATATACTATATAATGTATATAATATATAGTATATACTATATAATGTATATAATATATAGTATATGCTATATATAATGTATATAATACATAGTACATACTACATATTATGTATATATTATATAGTATATACTGTATATATATGTAAAATGGAATACTACTCATTCATAAAGAAAAATGAAGTAATCTCTTTGCAACGACTTGGATGGAGCTGGGGGCCATTATTCTAAGTGAAGTTAACTCAGAAATGGAAAACCAAATATTGTATGTTCTCACTTATAAGTGGGAGCTAAGCTATGAGGATGCAAAGGCATAAGAATAATATAATGGACCTTTGGCACTCACAGGGGAAGGTTGAGAGAGGGGTGAGTGATAAAAGATTACATGTTGGGTACAATGTACACTGCTCAGGTGACATGTGCACCAAAATCTCAGAAATCACAACTAAAGAAATTATCGAGGACTGATGTGGTGGCTCATGCCTGTAATCTCAACACTTTGGGAAGCTGAGATGGGTGGATCACCTGAGGTCAGGAGTTCGAGACCAGCCTTGTCAACATGGTGAAACCTTGTCTCTACTAAAAATACATAAAGTAGCCAGTTGTGGTGGTGTGTGCCTATAATCCCAGCTTCTTGGGAGGCTGAGGCAGGAGAATTGCTGGAACCTGGGAGGCAGAGGTTGCAGTGAGCCAAGATCGCGCCACTGCACTCCAGCGTCAATGGCAAGAAAGCAACTCCATCTCAAAAAAAAAAAAGAAAAAGACAAGAAATTATTCATGTAAGCAAAACCACCTGTACCCCAAAAAGTGTTGAAATAAAAATAAAAAATAATTATTTTTAAAAGTATATTAACAATAGAAAAAAAGATTTATTTAAAATTGGACCATTAAGGTAAGATTGAAAAGTTAAGAAGCTTGAAATTGGTGTGTGTGTGTGTGTGTGTGTGTGTCTGTGTGTGTGTGTGTGTCTGTGTGTTGGAGAGAAGGAGAGAGAGGGATAGTATATAGTGAGAATGAGGAAAAGAAGGGATAGAAAGTATAATACCAAGCACTTAGGTTACAAGGAGCTGTGAATGAGAATTCTCCAATTTGCTGTGAGTTTCCTAGCCAGGAAAGCAGAAAGTTAGGCTAATTTTATGTTAAAAAATCTTTGATCCTAGTAGTGATATATTATCCTGGGTGATTTTTCTTCTTACAGTGATGACACTGGCATTATGGGAGGGATAATTCTTTATTGGGTGAGACTATTTCACATACTGCAGGACATGGAGCTTCCCTGGCCTCTCTACTTGCTAAGTGCTAGTTGTATCCTCCAGGCACAACTGGACAATCAAAAAATGCCCTCATGCTTTGACAAATGCCCCTTAGGGGACAGTGTGGCCCCTAGTTGAGAACCACTGAACCTAACCCATTTGGTTTCAACAAAAGAGAATGTCAAGATTCAGAGAGTATTGTAGCTAACTGTTCAGGATCACACAAATCGTAAATGTCACAGCCAGATCCAAAATTCAGGTTTCTTGCCTCTAGTTTGGTTTCTATTAATGTTCCATTTCTCAGTGTTTATTTTGTTTTTAATAGACAGTTGATTTTACTTTATCAGCCACATACTGAAGCAAACCCACCTTTTGTGTTTGAAGATTATGCTTTAACTTTCCAATCTGTAAACCATTATCTTGTATGGAGAGACACTGGAAAAAGTTTTCCAGTTATCTCTTGGGCAGAAACCAGAGGGCCGCAGTACTCTTGGAAGCTTGAAAAGTTCTGAGTGAGAAGTCAGGATGCCTGATTTCCTCTACCTAGACTGTGCCAACGTGATATCTTGAGATTTCCCAGGCCAGCTTGACTCAATGATTCTAAGAATTTAGACAGAAAAGCCCAGGCTCTTCCTTCCTTGGCTGCATTAATGAAGGAGTGGCTGAGTGTCTCAGCCTGTGTGTTGCTATCATGACGTTCACTCAGTGTTGAGAAATGCCTTACAGATGCTGTGCTAGGTAAGGAGGAGCCAAATGTTTTCTAGCTCCCTTGGTCAGCACAGGATTGCCTGGGACCTTGGAGGAAAGAACTTTGCATTTATATCTGAAATATGACCTGAGCTTTTCTGTGTCTACAGCCTAAGTCTGTGTAACATTGATAGAATCTAATTCTCCCCTCAGAGCTTCACTCTGAGGGTACTGAACTCACATGGTTATTGGGGGTACTCTCTGACATAATGGGAGAATTCTTTGCCTGTTTAAGGCCGTATATTGTGGCAGAGAACACTAGTGCTTACCACAGGCCTGGTTTCCTCTTTTCTCAGGCACACAGCTAAGCCTCATCCCAGCCCTTTGCACTCATGGTAGAGCCAGTGGCAGGTGGGTAGTAGTGATGTATTCTCTTCTGCACAGTACTCGATCCTCTTTTTTTCTGTGGCTGCCTTGGAGGTCACATGGTGAAGATGGCAGTGCCACAAGATGGGAGGAATCTGAGCTCTGAATCACCGTGAAGAAGTCTGCTGGATGAACACTTGCTTGCACCGTGGAGTGGGCAAGAACTCTCAAATCTCAATGGCTTAACAACAAAGCTGTGCTTGTTATATAGATGATAGCCTCCCTTGACTAACAAAATTGTTAATACAACTTAGCCGACTGTGAAAAAAGCACATGAATGAAGACTTCTCTCATCTTCCCATAGCTTTCTATCTCTATCCCTCTGCTGTTAGGAGTGATTCTGAAAAGAATACTCAGAACTTACAGATAATTTTAATTTTTGTGTGTCTTTATCCAAGTGGTTCCAAAATCCACCCCACTCCCCAGCACCATTGCTGTTTAAAAGGCAAACAAACTTACTCTATGTGACCTTAGGAAGGTCATCTTACAGATGAGGAAACTGGTGCTCAGAGAAGCCAGGTTATTAGGTTGTGGTGAAGATTAAATGAGATCATGAATATGAAGCAAGGAGCACAGTGGCTGGCACATACAAAGCGCTCAATAAATGTCAGTCCCAACATTCTTCATTCTCCCCGAAGAGCAGAAGACTTTGTTTGCTTCCTGTCAAAAGAATCACTGAGCACAGGGAGTGGTAGTTCAGGGGTGAGGTAAACAATTCCTGATCCTCTTATCCCAACTGCAGCCCTGTATAAAATCTCATTTTTGTTTTTTGTGAGGTACCTCAGACTGGAGCAAGTATTGTTTTTCTAGCCTTGGCTTTTTGGACAAATAGCTGCTGTTCTTCTCTGGGCTTTAGTTTCTCTTTAGAATAGCAGGGCTGGACTAAATGAACTCCAAGAGCCCTCTAGCTCTGCCAGTGTGGAATTCCAACTTAATATGAGAAGACTGAACGACTGTGGAGAGAAACGCATCAAGGATAGGGAATGGGTTGGAATAGAGGCTTAGCTGTATCACATAGCATGTCCCAAAGGACATAAGCCATGCTCCACGGTCATCCAGAACAGATTTATGGTCTTGAAGTTCATAAATAATCTCTGGATGGTGGAATCATTTAAATACCAGTGACATTGGATGCCACAATAGGGGACCAAGCCCATTCTTCTTAGAAACTAATGTTATTGTGAACTTTTGCAGGATTGGATTCACACTTGCTTTCTTTTCCTTTTTTGTCTTTTCTTCTTCCTCCTCCTTCTACTTCTTCTTTCTTCTCACTCTGTCTCTCCTGGCTCCCCTCTTTTCCCCTCTCATCCTTCCCTTTCTTCTTCCCTCTTTTCTACTCCGTTCTATTTTCTCAGTCCTGATTTGCTACCGAAAACTAACAAATTTCCCATATTTAAATAACTTTACTTCTTTCACTTCTTTTTGACACATGTGCTTTATTATCTGGGATTCAAACCAACTTATTTAGTTTATTATATTTTTCTCATATTTTATTTAGCCTTAGCCAAACAATGGATGGGGGTTGGGGTAAAGAATTGTGTCACTTTTTGGTTAAACAATCTTGGTGACCTAATAACAACACTGATAATAGACTGACTGGTTTGTAAATTCAGAAGAGTGCCAGGCGCCACAGTTTTAACTATTATACTATTGCATACAGTTGAGGTTATTGCAGAAAGAGATTATGGTAGGGAGCAGTTCTGGGAAATTCTGGGAAAAAACAAGCTGAAGACAAATAGCTCTTTCCAACGCTGTTTACAGTCTTTAGGATAATTACAAATTCCAAGTTTTTGGGGACAAAATCATTAACTCTGACATTCCAATCAACCTTGAAATTAACTCTAATCTGAAACTTAGCCACTGAGCAGAAGTTTTTTGATGTGCAATCATGTGCTTTTTTCCTGGGGTAGAAAATTGAGAGCACAATTTGAAATCATATGGACAGTGTTATAACATTTTATTCCCAAGATGGCCTTAATTACAATTACAGGGACATATAGAGATTTCACCTATATCAGGTCTATTTTCTACCCTACTCATTATATATTGGTTGAATATTTTAACTAGAAATAACACCGCAAAAAGAAAAAGAAATAACACCGTGAATTCTTAGCACAGTGCCCAGAAATGCTTTTGTGTACAAAAAGTCAAATAATTTTATTTTCTCAGCCACCCTGTAGCATAGGTATCACTATCACCATGTAGAGATGAAATTGCAGTACTTTTGGACTTCAAAGTGGTAGAAACAAAGATTTGATTCCCGTTCTTTGATTCCAAAGCTTCTCTTTCTACTCTTGTGCCCAGAAATTATTTCTACTCACTATTGTTTTGGCTACCTCAAATCAACACCAATGTCTTTTTTTTCTTGTAAAATACAAAAGCTTAAAGAAGATAAAACTTTGTAGAAATGAATGCAATAATGTAAGTTTCTATTTTTCCTTTTATAAAATTTGTAAAAATTTTAATTTGTTTTTGTTTGAGACAGGGTCTTACTTCATCACTCAGGCTATAGTGCGGTGGTGTGTTTACAGCTCACTGCAGCCTCAACCTCCTGGGCTCAGGTGATCCTCCTGCCTCAGGCTCCTGAGCAGCTAGGACCACAAGTATGTGCTACCACACTCATATAATTTTTAAAAATTATTATTTGTAGAGACAGGGTCTCACTATGTTGCCCAAACTGGTCTTGAACTCCTGGGCTCAAGCAATCCTCCTGTCTTGGCTTCCCAAGATGCTCGGATTATAGGCAGGAGTCACTGTGCCAGGCCTTCCATTTTTCATTAAGAAAGTATTTCATGGTTTTCTTCATTTATTCCCAATAAACTGCTATCTTGCCTTGTTACAATTTTAGTTGATTTGTTCTCTTTCTTTTGAATCCTCCGCTCTATGTCTGTAAGTACCTTGAGGAAAGAGGAGCTCCATTTGCTGTTCTCTATCCAGTGCTCAGCCCAGTGTCTGACATCTGCTGGGTGCTCACGTACTGAGTACCCCTACTATGTGATTACCCTTTAACTCGTATTTGCTTTCCACATGTGATCATACAAGATCGAGAAGACGACAGACCAGTGAATGTAGTTGGGGAGAGAGGATTAAAGCCTGTCACAAAGAATTAAAGATAGAGGGCACAGTGAATATTTCAGCTCGTTTTCCACCAATGGGTGGAAAATATGTGAAGGGGCTGTGTTGGTTCTTCCCTGTTAGTCCCTCAAGATGTGCTCTCTACTCTTCTCTGATTTGCTCTGAGCCCCCAGACTCTGGTCCCTATGGAGTGTATCACCCAGGTTCTTTCTTCTTTGTTTTCCAGTTGAGTTTGGCCAGTGAGTGCTGCAGGATACTGGAGGGAGGGCAACAGAGAGGAAGGTGTGAGTACTCAATCTTTCAACTTCCGCTCTAACTCACTGTGGTTGCATGTGTTTGGCAGTGGCTGCATCCCTTTCCAACAGCAGCCCTGGCGGGGCAGCCCCTCTTCCTGATCTTCCAGACTCACTGGGCAATGTTGGTCCCTCTCCTTGTCCCTTTAGCCATTGGAGTGGTCATAGCTCTTTGCCATCATTGGTGTCTGGGTATGTTACTATCTCTTGTTGGTTCCCTTGACACTATCCACACTTCTGTAAATAATCTCTTCATTAAGTTTCCTTCAGTTAAACATAGTGGGTGTTCTGTTTCTTGTCAGACACTGACTGATAGAAGGAACAATGGACTGTGGATAATTACAGATGACGTGTTAACACAGGATATTCAAGTAGAGCCTTCTCCTGAAACCAGGGATGTGTCTGCTTAAGTGATAGGAAATATACAATCAGAGACTGCTGGCTTGGCATTATGGTTCTGAAGCTCTCCTCCCATTATTCACTCATTCATTCATGCTTGTTCAGTTAGCCAGTGAATATTTATTGGGTGGTCACTATGTGTCAGGAAGTCTTCTAGACTCTGAAGTTAGATGATGAATAAAACTGACAAAATAGCTGGCTGATTGGAGTTTACATTCTATTGAAAGAAGACAGTTATTTATTGTTTCAGGTGTGGATACAAGCTATGAAGTAGAAGAGGATAGACATTAGGGTTGTATGGCTCTACGTTTGCTTAAAAAATTAATCCCCAGAACAAATGCTTTTTAATTTGTATTTGGCTCACTAAAACACGACTCTACAAAGGGTGAAAACTTGTTTCTCATTTTTGCTCCTGTAAAGTGTGTTGGTTTCTTAGAATGTTCCATGAAGAAAATCAAGTTTTCATAAAATAATGGACTGAGTTTGACATAAGCTGTTGTTCAGCTGAAGAGATTGACTCACATTTTATACCCAGAATGTCAGATCCAGAAAATAAAAATATGTGGGAAATGCCTGGTAGAGCATTGACCAGACAGTACACATTGAACAGGTGTTATTATGTAATCCTTATATCAGCGTATAAGGTAGGTAAAAATGATTATATCTTGCTTTATGAATGACAAAAATGAAGCTCAAGGAGATTCAGAGGAAAGGGAGTAAAAAAAAAGCTTTGAAGTAAGATATATGTGACAGATGATGCTAACATAAACAACACCCATGAGCACATTCAGAACTGTTTGGTTCTCTGTAAACTTCACAAAATACCATCATTTTTGTTACCACATAAATTAGCATTTGAGTATCTAAATGAAAAAATATAGAAATATTTGAATCTACTTTAATTCATAAAAATGTATAAAACACTCACAATCACTGTTTTTTTAATCAATACTCATAACGAATGACTTAAAACAAGCCCCATAGCTGATCCCAAACACTGTGTAATTGTGCTACTGGGGAGAAGCATTACAAGTGATGATGTAGCTCAATGGTTCCCCAATTTTTCTTTACCAAAGACCTATTTTATTTTTTTCCCAATAGTTGTCAATTTTTAAAAATAATTTCATAAATTTTCATTGTTAATCAGAAAAAATTAAAGAGTGCAGAATGAATATTTACTTTAATACTTCTTTAATCTTGCTTGCAAAAATTTCAGTACTTGAAACAAACACAGATAGGTTGAGAAGCCCTCATACTTTGTATGAACAATTATTAATGTTTATGAGAAGCCTTTGTGAATTGTTATTGCCCGTTTCTTTTTTCTTTTAAGTTTTATTTCAATAGCTTTAGGGGTTATAAGGAGTTTTTGGTTACATGAACAAATTGTATAGTGGTGGAGTCTAGACTTTAAGTGTACTCATCACCCAAATAGTGTACATTGTAGCCAACCAATAATTTTTCATGCCTGACCCTGCTCCCACCCTCCCCACTTCTGAGTTTCTAATGTCCGTTCTACCACTCTGTATGTCTTTGCATCATTGCCCATTTAAGATTTTTTTTTAAAAATAATTTCAACGTTTGTTTTATATTCATTGGGTACATGCACAGGTTTGTTACAGGGGCATATTGTATGACAGTGAGGTCTGGGGTATTAATGGTTTTGTCACTCAGGTAGTGAGCATAGTACCCAATATGTAGTGTTTTAGCCCTTTTCCCCCACCACACTCCCATCTTTAGTAGTCCCCAGTGTTTATCCCCAGTTATTTTTCCCATCTTTATGTTCAGTATACCCAATGTTTAGCTCCCATTTATACATGAGAACATGTGGTATTTGGTTTTCTGTTCCTGTGTAAATTTGCTTAGGATAATGGTTTCTAGCTGCATCCATGTTGCTGGAAACACATGATTTCATTATTTTTATGGCTGCATGGTATTCTATGGTGTATAGGTACCATGTTTTATTTATCCAGTCCACACCGATGGGCACCTAGGTTGATTCTGTGTCTTTGTTAGTGTGAATAGTGTGGCAATGAACATACGAGTGCATGTGTCTTTTTGGTAGAGCACTTGGTTTTCCTTTGGGTATATACTCAGTAATAGGATTGCTGGGTCAAATGGTAGTTCTGTTTTAAGTCCTGTGAGAAATATTTAAATTGCTTTCCACAGTGACTGAACTAATTTACACTCCCATCAACAGTGTGTAAGTGTTCCCTTTTCTCTGCAGCTTTGCCAGCATCTGTTCTTTTTTGACTTTTTAATAATGGCCATTCTGAGTGGTGTGAGATGGTATCTTATCTGGTTTTAATTTGCATTTCTCTGATGATTAGCGATGTTGAACTTTTTTTTATGTTTGTTGGCCGCTTGTAGGTTTTCTTTTGAGAAGTATCTGTTCATGTCCTTTGCCCACTTTTTTTTTTTTTTTTTTTTTTTTTTGAGTCAGAGTCTCGCTCTGTCACCCAGGCTCCAGGCTGGAGTGCAGTGGCGCGATTTCAGCTCACTTCACGCTCCGCCTCCTGAGTTCACACCATTCTCCTGCCTCAACCTCCCGAGTAGCTGGGACTACAGGCACCCGCCACCACGCCCGGCTAATTTTTTTTTTTTTTGTATTTTGTTTAGTAGAGACGGGATTTCACCATGTTAGCCAGGCTGGTCTTGAACTCCTGACCTCGTGATATGCCCACGTCGGCCTCCCAAAGTACTGGGATTACAGGCGTGAGCCACCGAGCCTGGCCCTTTGCCCACTTTTTAATGGGGTTGTTTTTTTGCTTGTTGAATTGTTTAGGTTCCTTAGAGATTATGGATATTAGACTTTTGTCTGATGCATAGTTTGCAAATATTATCACTCATTCTGTAGATTGTCTCTTTACTCTGTTTATAGTTTCTTTTGCTGTGCAGAAGCTCTTTAGTTTAATTAGGTCTTGCTTATCAATTTCTATTTCTGTTACCATTGCTCTTGAAAAGACTTAGCCATACATTATTTGGCAAGGCTGATGTCCAGAATGGTATTTCCTAGATTTTCTTCTAGGATTTTTATTGTTTGAGATCTTATATCTAGGTGTTTAATCCATCTTGAGTTATTTTTTTGTATATGGTGAAAGGTAGGGCTCTGTTTTCATTCTTCTGTATATGGTTAACTAGTCTTTACAGCACCTTTTATTGAATAGGGAGTCCTTTCCCCATTTCTTATTTTGTTGATTTTTGTCAAAGATCAGATAGTTGTAGGTGTACAGCATTATTTCCGAGTTTTCTATTCTGTTCCATTGGTCTATGTGTCTATTTCTGTACCAGTCCCATGCTGTTTTGGTTACTGTAGCCTTACAGTGTAGTTTGAAATTGGGTATTGTGATGCTTCTAGCTTTGTTCTTTTTGCTTAGGATGGCTTTGACTGTCAGGGCTCTTTTTTGGTTTCATATAAATTTTAGAATAGTTTTTTCTAATCCTGTGAAAAATGACATCAGTAGTTTGATAGGAATAACATTGAATCTGTAGATTTCTTTGGGCAGTATTAACATTTTAAGATAATGATCCCTTCAATCCATGAGCATGGAATGGTTTTCTACTTGTTTATGTCATCTGTGATTTCTTTCAGTCGTGTTTTGTAATTCTCTTTATAGAGATCTTTCACCTCCTTGGTTAGCTGTATTCCTAGGTATTTTTATTTGTGGCTATTGTAAATGGAATTGAATTCTTCTTAAATTTTTTTAAATTTCAATAAAAGGTTTTTGGGGAATGGGTGGTGTTTGGTTACATGGATAAGTTCTTTAGTGGCGATTTCTGAGATTTGGTACACCCAGCACCTGAGCAGTGTACATTGACACCCAATAGGAATTTCATTCTTCATTTGGCTTTCAGCTTGAATGTTATTGGTGTATAGAAATGCTGCTGATTTTGTACATTGATTTTTGCACCCTGAAACTTTTCTGAAGTTGTCGATCCATTCTAAGAGCCTCTTGGTAGAGTCATTAGGCTTTTCTAGATACAGAATCATATCATTCATGAAGAGAGATAATTTGACTTCTTTTCCTATTTGGATGCCTTTTCTTTGTCTTTCCTGATTGCTCTGGCTAGGATGTGCAGTACTATGTGGAACAGAAGTGGTGAGGGTGAGCATTCTTGTCCTGCTCCTGTTCTTAAGGAGAATGATTCCAGCTTTTGCCCATTCAATATGATGTTGGCTGTGGGTTTGTAATAAATGGGTCTTATTTTGAGACATGTTCCTTCAATGCTTAGTTTGTTAAGGGTTTTTTTTTTTATCATGAAGGGATGTTAAATTTTATCAAAAGCTTTTTTCTATGCCTATTGAGATTATTGTATGGTTTTTGTTCTTGATTCTGTTTATGTGGTGAGTTACATTTATTAATATGCATATGTTGAACTATCCTTATATCCCAGATATAAAGCCTACTTGATTGTGGTGAATTAACTTTTTGATGTGCTGCTGGATTCAGTTTGCTAGTATTTTGTTGAGGATGTTTGCATCTATGTTCATCAGGGCTATTGGCCTATAGATTTCTTTGTTTTGTCTTTGTCAGATTTTGGCATTAAGGTGATATTGCTTTTGTAAAATGAGTTAGAGAGGATCCTCTCTTTTTTGCAATAGTTTCAGTAGAATTGGTACCAGTTCTTCATATGTTTGGTAGAATTTGGCTATGAATCCATGTGGCTCAGGGCTTTTTTTGTGTGTTTGGTAGGTTTCTAATTACTCATTTAATTCTGGAACTCAATATTTGTCTTTTCAGGGTTTCAGTTTCTTCCTGCTTCAATCTTAGGAGGTTGTGTGTTTCTAGGAAGTTATCAATTTCCTCTAGATTTTCTAGTTTTTGTGCACAGAGGTGTTCATAATAGTCTCCCAAGATCTTTATGTTTTTGTGGGGTCGATTATAATGTCACCTTTGTCACTTCTGATTGTGCTTGTTTAGATCTCTTTTTTGTTGTTGTTGTTAATATAGCTAGCAGTCTATTGATCTTGCTTATCCTAAAACCAAAACACAAATTTTTGGTTTTATTAGATGAATTTTGAGTTCTCAATTTCATTTTGTTCTACTCTGATTTTTGTTATTTCTTTTCTTCTTCTACCTTTGAGGTTAGCTTGTTCTTGTTTTTCTAGTTCCTCGAGGTGTGATGTTAGATCATTGATTTGAGATCTTTCTAACTTCTTGATGTAGATGTTTAGTGCTATAAGCTTTCCTCTTAGCAGTACTTTTGCTACATGCCAGAGATTTTGGTATGTTGTGTCTCTGTTTTCATTGATTTCAAATTTTTTTTATTTCTGCCTTAATTTCATTGTTTACCAAAAAGCTACTTGGAGCAAGTTATTTAATTTCCATGTAATTATGTGGTTTTGAGAGCTCTTCTTAGTATTGATTTCTATTTTTATTTCACTGTGGTCTGAGAGTATGGTTGACATGATTTCAATTTTGTTTTGTTTCTTGAGACTTGCTTTACAGCCAGGCATGTGGTCAATCTTAGAGAATGTCTTGTGTGCAGATGAGAAAGAATGTATATTCTATGGTTGATGGGTATAGTACTCTGTAGATGTCTATTAGGTCCGATTGGTCAAGTGTCAAATTTAAGTTCAAAATTTATTTGTTAATTTTCTCCCTTGATGATCTGTTTAATGCTATCAGTAGATTGTTGAAGTACCCCACTATTATCATGTGGCTATCTAAGTCTTTTTGTAGGTCTGGACATACTTGTTTTATGAATCTGGGTGTTTCAGTGTTGAGTGTGTATGTATTTAGGATGGTTAAGTTGTCCTGTTGAATTGAACCCTTTGTCATTATGTCATGCCCTTCTTTGTCCTTCTTTACTGTTGTTGGTTTAAAGTCTGTTTTATCTGGTATAAGAATAGTGACCCTGCTCTTCTTTTTTTTTAAATAAATATTTGAGTGACAGATTTTTCTCCAACTCTTTACTTTGAGCCTGTGGGTGTCATTACATGTGAGATGGGTTTCTTGAAGACAGACGATGGATGGGTCTCATTTTTTTTTTTTGATCCAACTTACTACTCCATGCCTTTCAAGTGAGGTGTTTAGCTCATGTGTTATAAATTCAAGGTTAGTATTGATATGTGAGGTTTTGATTCTATTGTGAAATTGTTAACTGGTTGCTTTGTAGTTTCTATTGTGTAGTTGCTTTACAGGGCCTGTGGGCTATGCACTTAAGTGTATTTTTGTGGTAACAGCTATTGTTCTTTTCTTTTCATGTTTAGAACTTCCTAAGGATCTTTTGTAAGGCTGGTCTAGGGGTAATGGAATTCCCTTAGTGCTTGCTTGTCTGAAAAAGTTTTTATTTTTCCTTTACTTTTGAAACTTAGTTTGATGGGATGTAAAATTCTTGATTGGTATTTCCTTTCTTTAAGAATGCTGAAAATAGGTCCCAATCTCTTTGGGCCTGTAAGTATATATTTAGATGTTAAATTGCTTGGCCATTGACTGTGCATTCTTTCAGCCTTAATAGACTCTTCTAGTTTTCCAAAGACAGATTACACCACTACCAGCAGTGCATAAAAGTTCCAGCTGCTCTACACTTTTGGAAATGCATGGTATTGTCATTTAAAACAAATTTTAGTAATTCTTGTGGATATGTAGTGACATCTCATTGTGCATCTCATTGTGGTTTTAATTTACATTTCTTGATGGCTACTAATGTTGAACGTGTGCTAATGGCCATTTGAACATCCTCTTTCATGATATGCTTCTTTAAGTCTTTTCACTGACTTAAAAATTGTGCTATGTGTCCTATTCTTATTGATTTATAGGAATCCTTTAATTTTTTATTATAAATCTTTTGTTGGATAGGTGTAGTTTAAATATCTCTCCCTACTTTTTTGTCTTTTCACTGTCTTAACGGTAACTTTCAATGCACAGAAAAATGTTGTTATTACTAAAGTCATATATATGCATCCTTTATGGTTAGTGTATTGTGTTCTATTAAGGAAATATGTACCTACCTCAAGGTCATAAATATACGATTGTAGGTTATCTTCCAGAGGCTTTATTTTTTACTTATCGCATTACGTCTACAATCCATCTGGGATTGAATTTTTTGTGAAAGGTTTATTTTTCTCTGTATTAGTATTCAATTAATTCTGGACAATTTTTTTTAATTATTATACTTTAAGTTCTAGGGTACATATACACAATGTGCAGGTTTGATACATAGGTACACATGTGCCATGTTGATTTGCTGCACCCATCAATTCATCATTTACATTAGGTATTTCTCCTAATGCTATCCCTCCCCCAGCCCCTCCCCGCCCCAACAGGCCCTGGTGTGTGATGTTCCCTGCCCTGTGTCCAGGTGATCTCATTGTTCAATTCCTACCCATGAGTGAGAACTTGAGGTGTTTGGTTTTCTGTCCTTGTGATAGTTTGCTGAGAATGATGGTTTCCAGCTTCATCCACGTCCCTGCAAAGACATGAACTCATCCTTTTTTATGGCTGTATAGTATTCCATGGTGTATATGTGCAACATTTTCTTTAACCAGTCTGCAACTGATGGGCATTTGGGTTGGTTCCAAGCCTTTACTATTGTGAATAGTGCCACAATAAACATATGTGTGCATGTGTCTTTATAGTAGCATGATTTATAATCCTTTGGGTATATACCCAGTAATGGGATTGTTGGGTCAAATGGTAATTCTAGTTCCAGATCCTTGAGGAATTGCCTCACTGTCTTCCACAAAGGTTGAACTAATTTACACTCCCACCAACAGTGTAAAAGTGTTCCTATTTCTCCACGTCCTCTCCAGCATCTGTTGATTCCTGACTTTTTAATGATTGCCATTCTCACTGGCGTGAGATAGTATCTCATTGTGGTTTTGATTTGCATTTCTCTGATGGCCAGTGATGATGAGGAACATTTTTTCATGTGTCTGTTGGCTGCACAGATTCTTCTTTTGAGAAGTGTCTGTTCATATCCTTTGCCCACTTTTTGATGGGGTTGTTTTTTTCTTGTAAATTTGTTTGAGTTCTTTGTAGATTCTGGATATTAGCCCTTTGTCAGATGGATAGATTGTAAAAGTTTTCTCCCATTCTGTATGTTGCCTGTTCACTCTGATGGTAGTTTCTTTTGCTGTGTAGAAGCTCTTTAGTTTAATTAGATCTCATTTGTCAATTTTGGCTTTTGTTGCCATTGCTTTTGGTGTTTTAGTCATGAAGTCCTTGTCCATGCCTATGTCCTATAATTCAGGACAAATTATTAAAAACACCAGGGTTTTCCCAGTACACTATAGTCATCTTTGATATAAATCATATGACCATATATGTATATATCTGTTTTTGGAAATTTTTCTTCCATTGGCTGTTTGTCTATTACTGCACCAGAACCACACTTGTTTTATTTAATGTAGATTTAGAATATGTAGAGTAAATACTCCAAGTTTATTCTTCCTTTTCCAAGTTATATTTGTTTGGTTTGGCTGTTTGCATTTTTATATACATTTTAGCATCGCTCATTGATTTCATGTAGTGAGCTGTGTCAGGACTTTACCTAAACGTCTCGCATCTCTTTTGCTTTTTACTTTTTACACCCCCTACTCTGTAGTTTCTGTGCATGTTTACTTTCTACTGCCTGCACCTGTGATTCTCACTGAAGGACTCCCTAAGAGCTACTGGAACCACTTTGCCCAACTGTACAAAAAGCAGGACATGCCTGAGAGTTTATGCACTTCTGGGCAGATCTTAGCAATGACTAACTGTTGCAGGCGTATGAAAGCCCAGTTTATTTGCCTTGAAGGAGGAAAACTCTGAAGTGCAACTTACACCTGTGCTCCCTTGTCAGATCAGGCTGAAATAAAAAGTTTGCTTGCTTTTCTCCCATTCCATGTTCTACTTGCCCACTTTCTAATTAGTTTTCTTTTTGAGAACATTTCCTTAGTAAAGTACTTGAATACAAATCCTCATTACACAGTCTACTTCTGAGTAATCCAAACTGATATTCCAGGAAAAAGCTTCTGGAATTTTTGATTGGGATTGCACTGAATATATAGATCAAACTGAGGAGAACTAACAATATTAAAATATCAAGTCTCCCAATCTATGAACATGGTATATCCTTCAATTTATAAAGATCTTTAAATTTTCTCAGTTATATAGTTTTCTATATAAAGTCACGCTCTACATAATGACTTTTTGATCAAAGATGAACCAAATATATGAGGATGGTCCTATGAGATCATAATGGAGCTGAAAAATTCCTATTACTTAGTGATGTTGTAGCCATCATAACATTGTAGCACAATTACTGTATGTTTTGTAACTTTAGTGTAGCCTACAAGTATAGTGTTTATAAAGTCTACAGTAATATACAGTAATGTCCTAGGCCTTCATGTCCACTTACTATGCACTCATTGACTCACCCAGAGCAACTTCCAGTCTGAAAGCTCCTTGTACAGTAAATGCCTTATACAGATGTGCCATTTTTAATCTTTTATACCACATTTTTACTGTGTATTTTCTATGTCCAGATATGTTTAGATACACAAATACTTATCATTGTGTTACAATTGCCTACAGTATCAGCACAGTAACATGCTGTCCAGGTTTGTAGCCTAGGAGCAATAGGCTATACCATGTAGCCTAGCTGTGTAGTAGGCTATACATCTATATTTTTAATTTTTTAAAAAATTTACTTTTAATGTATATTGACTAGATGTGTGGTAGACTATACATCTATATTTTAAAATTTATTTTTAGATTTTTTTAAATTTATTTTTAATTGTATGTTGACCTTATGAACTTAGTGGTCTTACTGGATTCACATCACTTCTAATAATTCATCCATATATTTAGATTTTCTACATGTACCACATACACCATTATGTCACTTGTGTATAATAACAATCTTATTTATTCCTTTGCCATTCTTATGCTTTTTTTTGTTGTTCCTCTTGAGTTATTGCACTGGCTAGAACCTTGCAGTACAATACTGAGTAGAAGAGGTGACAGAACAAACAACAAATTTCACTCACTCCACTGGACATCATGAACATATGATTTCCTGATTTCCAGAGTTCAAACTATCAGCTTAGAGATATTGGAGGAATAATGTATAATCCCAGTTATAATAAACATCAATTTTATGCATTGACAAGAATTTGGCATCATCCTGTGAAATGTGTTATATATATAGTCACTTAAGAACCACTGACCCAGTGTATTTACCAATTAGTGTATTTACCTTCATATTTACCAATCAGTTAACTTTCAGAGATTAGGGGTGAGGCTTTTGTGTTTTTTAATTTTGATAATATTATAGTGTTCAATATTTTTGCCCAGCCAATTTATTTATCTTCTCTCTTCTACAGTGTTCCCAAGAGAACTACACAAACAATGACTGAATGAAGAGCAAATAATTATTACATTAACAATTGTCTAAGTACTCTATTTTCTAATGCAAGACCATCTTCCACAGGAAGCCCTTCATTGACCTGCTCAGATGAACTCAGCTATGTGACCTGCAAGTTTATTCTTCCACTTATTATACTTACTTTATCACTATTTGTTCAGTGACTTCCCCAGGAGCAATTAAAGCAGAAACCATGCATGTCTTATTTGTTCAGTATTCTGTCCTAATATCTTAGCAAGTATATGTCATAGAGCTACTATTTATTGATTCTTAACTAGTATAAGAGTTAGATGTCTAAAATGTGACTCCACCTACATGACACAAACCCCCCCAGTTCACTCATTTATTCAGTCATTAAATAAATATTTCAGATATGTCAATATCTGCCAGGACTCTTGCTAGCCATTTTTTACTCAATATTTTATTTAACTTTCTCAATATTCCTGCAAAGTCAATATTTTTACCTCTATTTGATGATGAGTAAACTGGGGCTAGGAGTGGCAGAGCTCATATCCAAGTTCAAATCTGTTTGAATTCAAAAGTGATGTTTTACACAAAACCTAATTTAGGCTAAAAGAAAGAATGTGGTGGAGAGTAAGCCTAATGGAGGCATGGTCACTGTACTGGAAGATCTGAAGGGCTGGCATGTGGCACCAAAAGAAACTATTATGTATGGCTTCAGAAAGCAAAACTGTAACCCATCAGTTACAAGCTCCAGATTTCAGAAAATGGGAGGAAATTTCTGAAAAGAATCATTCAATAGGAGAATTATCAACTTTATGTATTGCTTCAGAAAGTAAAACTAACCCATCAGTTACACCCTCCAGATTTCATAAAACAAAACAGGAAGAAATTTCTGGAAATAATTGTTCAATAGGATAATGATCAGCTTTTGTGCTATGAGCACCTTGTGCTATTATTCTGGCATAGACTCAGTACTAAGGTATGAATACCATGGGTTACTGTAACATCAACCCTGCTTTTTAGCAGATAGTGGTCTTGAGGAGGAGCAGTACATCATGCCCCAATTAGGCATTTACTAATTTGCTGCTTGAGAGGGCAGTCCAAAGCATGACAGAAGCATAGAAGTAGCAGTGCCCGACAACTCCTCTGCAGAGCCTTCCTGGAGAAATCTAAACATAGTTAGAGAATGTTCTTACATAAAAAGTAGATTTTTATGTAGAGAAGAAGAAAAGGGCATTTCAGGCAGAGGGAAAGGCATGTGAAGAAGCCCAGATGCTAAGGAGCTTGCAGGGTGTAAGGACAGAATGCCAGTAGTTTAGTTGGGCTAAGGCTAGTGTGCAGTGCTGGGGTAGTGACCTGGAGAAGGGAGCCAGGGCAGGCAGCAGATCATGAAGGACCTTGAAAACCCCCAGTGGAGCTTGGGCTTTTCTTTGAGTTCCACAAAGTGAAATTCTAAGCTGAGGCTTGCCCAGAACTGCCAGTCCATCTCCTTCATGCCTCCCAGTGTCTCTTAGCTAGTCCGACTTCTGGCCCCAGTGCGGAAAACATGTTAATTAGTGATGAAAACCCCTCAGCTCTCCAGGCTGGTAAAGGCTTCCTGGGAGCACTTTGCAGAAAGAAAGCTTGGCTGTTGCTGTCAACAGTTCCAGTGACTCCCGTAGTAACAGAATTTCTGGTCCCCAGGCGTTTTCCCCATCTCTGGGGTGTGTCTGCCTTAGCTTCACTCAGAGGATCACGTCACCGTGGTCTGGTGCTCCCATGTGCGATCCATCCAGCACTGGAACCTTTCAGGAACACAGGGAATTGCATGTGTCAGGCAGAAAAGGGCAGAGTCTTAAGGGCTAGGACAATTTTACACATAGATTTTTGGCTCCCAGTGGTGGTTGTAGAAAAAGAATTTTTGCAGAGCAGTGAGGAGCTCTCCTTCCCCTACCTTTTTGTTTTCATTTCACAGGCCATTCTTATCTTTGTGTAGGATTTTGAGAATATGTTATAGACCAGTTGTTTTTTAGCTATAGTATCAATTAAATTATACTCATCTGGAGCAAATCTGGCTACATTTTCCAAGCAGTTAGCAATAGATCATATTTGCAGATGAAAATGAAAGGGAAGGAAGATACAGATTCTGGGGGTAACAGGAACCTAAATGTAATTTACTTGAATAGCCATCTGAATCCTCTACTTTCAATTTAATTGGGTAATTTCCTTAGTTAGAAATAATTCCTCCTCTTCACCCTCTGAACCACTCTCCACTCCCATCTAATTGATTACTATGATATTGATCCTTTATCTATCCCCCCCCACCCTCCAATCCATTGTTTTTATTACCTTTCTCTAACCTGCTTTTACAGGAAGGCTGACATCTACAGACTACATGACCCAGGCCTTCCTGACCTCCAGCTTCTAGTTGGGTTTGGCCAATAAAAAGCACTGGCAGGAGATGAGAGAATGGATGGGGAGAGAGGTTAGATATGTTATTTCCTACCCCTCTTCCCCTTGCCTGGTCATGGTCGCAGAGGCTGCATTCCTGTCTATGGCAATGGCTCCTGTTGAGTCAACCATCTTTCTTGGCTTCTGGTTTCTCTGGTCTGCGGAAATGCTGTTGCCTCCCCTTGCCTTCTTAAGTCTGCAGTGGAAATATCCGCCTTCTTTTGCCTGTGCCCGGATGTCTCATGTTCCTTGTTTGTTCCTTTAACTCTGCCCACACCTCTCAAGGAGGCCTTTTGTTAAGCTCTACTGGGTTAAATCAGAAGGATTTAACCAAGCCTTCTTGTCTTGCCAGACCTAGTGTGACAACATGACCAAGCCTATTAATTGCATTTCCCTGGGACCTTTCTCCTCTTTCCTCCATGACCTACTCTGCATTTCTGGGTTTAATTTGTGTAATGGCCTCCCCTTCCTGCCTGCCTTCAGTCTGGCTTGCTCTCCCTTCCATCTTCATGCTACAGCCAGAGAGATTTTGAAACTGCACATGTGAACATGCTACTTTTCGTGCTACTTATCATCCTTTTATGGTTCTTCACTCCTTTTCAAATCAAGTTTAACTCTGCCTGCTTACAAAGCCCTCCATGACCTGGCCTCAGATTCTCTTCCGTCTGCTCCTCTCTGCCTCATGGGGCCACTGCTCCAGCTATGAGGAAGCACTAGCCTCATTCCATTCTCATCAGGCATGCTTCTGAGCCCCCAAATAATGGTGTGTAAGTGATATTATTGAGCACTGAGCTATATTTTTAATAGATAATTCCATTTCATTCTCACAACAACTCTGTAAAGCATATGGTATAACTGTTTCCATTTTACAGAGGGGGAATCTGAAGGACAGATAAATAAGATAATTTATCTTATGGTTACTCAGCTGGGAAGTGGTGGAGATGGGTTTTGAATCTGGCTCCAGAGGGCATGTAATTGTCAATGAGAACCTGAGAGTCCACTCTTATTTGAGATTCCAGCTCACATGTAATCTCCACTGAGAATTTTTTCCTGATTCCTTCCAGTTGAAGGAGACATTCCCTCCTCTAGGTTTCGACATTTCGTTCCTTAACTCTACCATACACACTGCAGTTGTCTATATCCCTGACTGAGGATGGTATGCTTGTGCACTGTGAGAATGCTTCTAAAGAGAAAGCTTGCCTTCATCTCCTTTCATCGGCAGACATGGTGTTAACTGCTGGGCACACTGCATGTACTCAATAATTGGGGAATGAGTGGATGAATGAATATACTTGGAACTATGGTCACTTAGCTCAAGACCATGTCTGTACATTCAGAAAAGGGAATGTCAGTTAATTATTCCTACAGATTGTGTTCAAGTGTTGAAATTCATTGAAATCTATTGAGAACTCCTCATGCACTGGGCATTGTTTAAGGCAGAGTAAGAACAATGAACAAGACAGAAATCTCTGACCTCTTCAAGCTTACATTTGAGTTACTGATTAATACATTAACAAATGTGGAATTAATAAATGAATAAAAAAGAAAGAAGGAATGCAAATCATATCTGAAGCAGTTAGATACTAAAAGTTTTAACTATGTGTCTTTTTATACTAATGTAGTAATTTTCTAGTTTTTGAATATTTCCTATATGCCAGAGCTGAGCAAGGTTCTTTATGTATTTAACTTACAGGGATGTAGTAAGAATGAAATAATGTAATTGGTTTTTTTTTCCACCTGGGAAAGGGAGATAATGAGACCTGGATAGGTTGGAGGATCTTTCTATGATCATGTAACAGGCAAGTGGAAAGATTCTAATGTCAGTCTGTCTGCCCCATCTGCCTGGTTCTTTCCACTCTGCTTCACCACTTCCCATGATGTAAACACCAGCCTCTGGCTCTACCATTATCTTTAACATCACATGGAAGCATCCACACAGAGGGACTGATAATATTTAAGTGAAAAAAATTAGTTTGTTTAATCCTCTCTGGGAGAGGGACAGGGATATAATTTTCTCTGTGAGCATCCTAATTTTACAAATATCGACACTGAGGCTTAGAGAGATGAAATGGTAGTTTGTATTTCTGTGGGATCCGTGGTGATAGTCCCATGATCATGTTTTATTGTGTCTATTTGATTCTTCTCTCTTTTCATCTTTATTAGTCTGGATAGCCATCTATCTATTTTTAATCATTTCAAAAACCAGATCCTACATTCATTGATTTTTTTGAAGAGTTTTTCATGTCTCTATCTCCTTGAGTTCTGCACTGATCTTAGCTATTTCTTGTCTTCTAATTGTGATGTTAGGGTGTCGATTTTAGATCTTTCCCACTTTCTCCTGTGGGCATTTAGTGCTATAAATTTCCCTCTAAACACTGCTTTAAATGTGTCGCAGAGATCCTGGTACATTGTATCTTTATTCTCATTGGTTTCAAAGAACTTAATTATTTCCGCCTTAATTTCGTTATTTACCCAGTAGTCATTCAGGAGCAGGTTTTTCAGTTTCCATGTAGTTGTGCAGTTTTGAGTCTGTTTCTTAATCTTGAGTTCTAATTTGTTTGCACTGTGGTCTGAGAGACTGTTATGATTTCCATTCATTTGCATTTGCTGAGAAGAGTTTTACTTCCAATTATTTGGTCAGTTTTAGAATAAGTGCTGAGAAGAATCTGTATTCTGTTGATTCATGATGGAGAGTTCTGTGGTTGTCTATTAGGTCTGTTTGCTCCAGAGCTGAATTCAAGTCCTGAATATCCTTGTTAATTTTCTGTCTCGTTGATCTGCCTAATATTGACAGTGGGGTGTTAAACTCTCTCACTATTATTGTGTGGGAGTCTGAGTCTCTTTGTAGGTCTCTAAGAACTTGCTTTATGAATCTGGGTGCTCCCGTATTGGGTGCATATATATTTAGGATAGTTAGCTCTTCTTGTTGCATTGATCTCTTTACCATTATGTAATGACTTGCATGGGTCCCAGAGGCAGGATTGGAACTCGGTTTTGTCTAACTCCAGAGTCCATGCTCTCTCTTCTATACCAGCACTATCGAACAGAGCATTCTGCAATGATGGAAATGTTCTATATCTGCATTGTGCAATATAGTAGGCTCTAGCCATCTGTGGCTATTGTGTACTTGAAATGTGGCTAGTGCAATGGAGGAAAGAAATGTTTAATTTTATATAATTTCAATTAACATAAATTAAAATCATCTTACGTAGTTAGTGACTGCCATAGTAGATGGCTTAACTTATACCATGAAAATTAACTATGACAAGGACTCAATTATAGACCTCCTCGTCTCTTTTTCTCTTCCTCCTATCCCTCTCCTTTTTCCTACATTCATTATTTACTGAGGTCCAACCATATATAAGGCAGAGCATGGATGAGGAGGTGGGGTGGAGAAAAGATGGTCAGTCCTGGTGCCTGCTCTGGCTTCTGTTCAAGGTAGGGAGATTAGACATGTGCATAAATAACTAAAATACAAAGTTGAAGGTTTAATGTTCTAAGTGCCCTGAGAGAGGAGCAGATAAGGGATGAGGAGATAATGAGGCTCACCCTGGCTCCTTATGGACTGTCAGGAAAACATGAGATAACTGCCGTAAATGTGTGTTAACAGTAACATGCTTTGTAAATTGTCAAGCGCTCTGTAGACATGAGCTATCTAAAACATTGTCTTAACCATGTGTGTTAACAATATTCCATCTATGATCTCATTTGATCTTCGCAAGCCCACTGGGAGGTGTGCAGCATTGCATTCTGTTTCTGAGACATAGAAAGGGGTGATCAGAAAGGGGAAGCACCTGTCTAAGGACAAATAGCTGGTGGGGACTAAGCCTGGTGTGTGGCTCTAGGTTTCTTCATTCCAACATCAGGAATCCTTTGTACCTCCTCATTGCCCTTGGCAAATTTTGAGAGTTGTTACTATCTATCCGTCCTTATTACTGGCATCAGCTTGGCTCCTAGGGAAATAATTCCTGAGGTTTAGGCAATTCTGCTGAAGCTAGCTGGATGTGCTACAGCTACGCCCCTGACCTAGGGCAGGTCTTTTGGGTACACCAAGGCCTTTGTCATAACAGAGGATGTGCCAGAGAATGAGCTCAGTGGTGAGGCCATCCTGGTGTGTCCACAGTGGATCGAGATTCCACAGCCCCACAGGTTTTCCAAATGGGCAGGCTACTGAGGGACTCATCAGCCCTCCTGGCATTTATTCCTGAAGGATCTTAGCCCAGGAGAGTCATAAGCTCGTTATCTAAAAGCCTCATAAGTGCCTTCCTATCTTTCACCCAGCTCCCTCCTTTTATGGAAAGGTAAAGGCAAAAAAAAAGGCAAGAGCTGCTCAACTTTCACCTCTGTTGTGTTAACTCTATATTTCTTGACTCCCAAACTATGTCTCGAATCAAATCAGTTTAGATCTTTCTTCAGGGTTTGCTTTCAAATTTCATACAGAACACTGTGTGCAAATGATTACATAATTGCATTTGTTAATGTCTTCAGGAGATGGCTGGTGGGTGAGTGCCCATGGACTAGAGTGCCCAAGCTGAGAGGGCCCTTGGGGCTCATCCATCAAATTCTCTATCTTGCAGATGGGGAGACTGAACTTCAGCTAAGTGTAGTGACTTGCTCAGGCCACATAGCAAACTGGTGTCTTAATTAAAAGGTTTGGGCTGGGCGCAGTGGCTCACGCCTGTAATCCCAGCACTTTGGGAGGCCGAGGCGGGTGGATCACGAGGTCAGGAGATCGAGACCATCCTGGCTAACACGGTGAAACCTCGTCTCTACTAAAAATACAAAAAATTAGCCAGGCGCAGTGGCAGGCGCCTGTAGTCCTAGCTACTCAGGAGGCTGAGGCAGGAGAATGTCATGAACCTGGGAGGCAGAGCTTGCAGTGAGCCGAGATAGCGCCACTGCACTCCAGCCTGGGCGAAAGAGCGACACTCCGTCTCAAAAAAAAAAAAAAAAAAAAGTTTGTGTCCATTTCTGGTACCAGAAGTGTACAACCTAAGAAGCTTGAAGGGAGGGCACATTCCATTAACACAGATCTGTTCCCTGGGGGTTCTGATGGGGAGCCAGGTGGGTGGCACATGCAGAGCACCATTGTCACTGCCTCATTATGAGTTTGGAGTCCAGCCTGAGGTTCCAATGCAAACTCAGCGTAGCTTCACCTTTCAAGGTCCAGTTTTAATTCTGCTCCCTCCAGAAAGATGTCCCAAACTTCTCTAGCACGCACCAATCCCTCTCCTCATTCACCTCTTTACATTTTTATTGTCTATCCCACACCACTTTGTCTTTCTACTGGATACACAACTCTAAGGAAAAAGAATTAGCAGGTATTTAACACCTGCTTTGGGCCAGGATTTGCATGATTATCTCATTTAAGCCTCTCAGCAACCCATGAAGAGGATGTCCTTATCCCTTTTTTGGAAGGCAGGGTGCTAATTCTCAGAGTGGAGAGGTAGTTTGCACAAGACTGCACAGTAGTCTCATTAATTTAGTCAGTAAAATTTTATTATATACCTGCCATGTACAGGCACTGCTGTAGGTGGAGCAAAGCCCTTTATCTCATGCAGCTGATTTTCTAGTGAGAGAGGCGGAAAATAAAAAGTAGACCAATTTACTTAACGCTTTAGTCAAATGAAATTGCATATTGTTCTTGAAAATATTCCATAATTTTCCCAATTTTGTTTCTGCTTCTTTCCCCATCGGGAACTCTAATTTAAGGATTAAAAATCTACACACCCTCTGGCCCCTCAAAGTGGATCATAAGAGCTAACATTTATTGAGCACTTACTGTGTGTCATAACAGAGGATTTAAGCTCATGATATGCTTTATCTCTTATCCTTGCAAGAGCTCAATGAGGTCAGTACTATTATTTTCCAATTTTACAGACAAGGAGACTGAGGCTCAGAGAGGCCAAACTTGTCCCTTAATGCCTCCTTGTCAGCTGTGTCTAATATGTGGTAGAGTTAGTTGAATCTAGGCAGGTTGTGGCCAGAACCCATGTACTTATGTATTACTTTATCTTAGACCAGACTCATTCCACCTCTTAACTATGTTGGAGGATGCTGTATGAGGCAGTGTGGTGTGGGGAGATATCACAAAAATGGTACACAGAAGGTTCAGGTCTGAGCCCAAATTCAAGCAATTATGTCACCCTTCTGGACTTATGTTCAAGACAAGCTGAGAGGTTCAAATATTCATCATGCAGGATCATCTGTATAGAAATACCTTCTGATATAGCCCCTGAGATTCATAATAGATGTTCAATAAGTGCTTTTTTGCTGAATCTGAATCTGGATGGAGTATATGTAATAGCCCTTTCCTCCCTGGCACATTGTGACTCTCCAATAAATTAAATTCCAGTGATAATCTCTATCACTCCAACATGCCACCTTAGGAAAAGAATGTATTTTTTTCTTGTTTATCATCTGATTCATCTACATATAAGCTTTATGCTGACTGGACAATATCTTAATCATTTCCATAAACACAGTAGTCACCCAGCATATAACTTGCATAGTACATGCAATAATTTTTTAATGAATGAAGTGATTCCAAATAGCAAAGCCTGTTACATTTGAATACCTGCCTTCCTGGCCACATGGCCAAAGCTGCTGGCCCAACCTGAGTCTGGTGTCCATCCCGGGTCCATTTGATTTCTTTCTCTAAGGAATTTGGAATTGAGAGTTGGAGATGGAGTCAGTTGACTGTAGGAAACAAGACCAAGTCCTCTGAAGTTCAAGGCTATTTCTCTTCCCCTGGCTATAAAACAAATTACCTTAGTAGTGTATGTCAACCATTTATTTAGCTCATGGATTCTGAGGGTCTGGAATTTAGAAAGGGCACAGTGGGGACAACTTATTTCTGTTCTACTATATCTGGGGTCTTAGGTTGAACATGTAAAAGTTGGAGGCTAGAATTATTGAAAAACCTTATTTACTCATGTCTGGCTGTTGATGCCAGCTGTCAGCTGATAGCCTCAGTACCTTTCCATGTGGTCTGATCACATGGGCTAGTCTGGACCTCTTCACAACATGGTGGCTGGATTGCAAGAATGAGTGTCTCCAGAGAGAGAGAAGCAGGTGGAATCATACTTCCTTTTATGACCTAGCCTCGGATGTCATTAAATGTCACTTCCATTGCATTTTATTCATCAAGGCAGTCACAAAGCCCTGCCCAGAAATAGACTCTGCCTCTTGATATGGGGTGGCCAGTTTCTGGAAGAACTTGTAGAATTGAAAATGTTGCTGTAGTCAATTTGGAAAATACAATTTGCCACAGCTGCTGAGTAGGCCTTATGGAGGGTCCCAGGATGGGTTATACCCAAGAAGAAAAGTCTAAGATAGTTCACAAGGAAGAGAACTGTTGAATAGAGCAGACAAACCAAGAAATGCAGAAAGAAAATACCATTTGGCCAGAGAGAGTCAGGGTTTTGCAGGTTGGGTTGTCCAAAGGAGATACTTAGAGTTTGGGGTGCATGGTGTTTATTAAGGATCAACACATGGAAAAGGAAGTTGGAAAAAGAAATACTAGATAGAGGGAGAAGTTAAGCCATCCTAGGGGCCTGACAAAGCCTCACCCAACCCAGCAGGTGATCTGGGGTGAAGTTTGCCCATCAGAGTTGCTCATTGTAAGGTTGAAAGGACTGTGCCTTTATCCCCTACCTTGCTTAATCATGGAATGTGGGCTACCGGCAAGGGCATGGATGAGGCTGGTCTCTGTAGCTCTGTATCTCTATGTCTAACACTGGGGGAGGACTTCCCAGTTTCTGTGTGTTCTGGTTGTCTGTCCTGTAAGTGGATTCCATAAAATTCCCTTCCCTATTTTCAATACAGCACTCTCCATTCAGCTGAATGTATTTCCATATCTTGCAACTCAATATGTCAGCCTGAGGCTCTTGGTCTGTTGCTCTACCTGTAGAGTGGGAGGTTGGATGGACCTTCCTGTTTTGCAATCTGATGATTCTTATCCCCTTGGCTGATGCCTTTTACATAGCCAGCTCTGCAGAAAATGAAATACAGCTCACTTGTTGCCAAGTGCTTCTTATCAGATACAGACCCAGACAGACACAGTCTGGCTTGGCTGTCCACGTGATTTATTCCTCCAGTTTAGAAGAAAGCGCCAGGTGATATCTGAGCTGTGGCAGCAGCCAGCTGGCTCCCAACACATTCCAGGTATAAAAATAGTTTACAAGGAGCACCAAGCTCCAATAACTCTTACTTCAGACTCTAGGAACACTAAGACAGCCTGGAAAGTTTTGGCAAACTCAGTTCCTGCCTTGAATCCTCTGGGTTCTCATTTTGTGAGGCAGAACAGTGCCAATGGAGGCAGACTGCTGAGTGCACTTAGGATGTGGGTACTGGGAAGTTCCAGGGGTCAGACCTGATCACAGCATTCTTCCAAGGAGCAGAGGTGCACAGATTTGGGCAACACACAGTATTGGAGTTGCACGGACCTGGATTTAAGTTCTTCATGCATCTTGTACTAATGACCTAACCTTAGTCTCTCTATGTTTCACCCTCTTAAAAGTATATCTAAAACCTAGTTCATGGGCTTATTCTGAACAGTGACAAAATGATATGTTATAAAGCATCTAATATAATGCCAGGCATATTCTTGAATGAATATTGTTAGTGTCAAAGAGAAACATAAACTTCCAATTGTTGAGGATGTTTCAGGCACCATGACAAGTGCTAGGAAAATAAATATATCAAAATATGCTTCTGACCTCAAGGAATTTCAGTAACATGGATACGAAATTATTGTTCTGATAGAAACTCTGTCACATTCCAGCTAGGTGACCTTGGATGAATCATTCCACTTTTGTGGGTCTCCGTTTTCTCTAAAATAGAGAAAATTGTACCTAATTCATAGCATTGCAGTGATGACTAAATGAGATGGCGCAGGACAAGATGCCTGGTACAGGGCTGCCATTTATGAAGTGTGTCTCATTACATCACGAGCTCTGATCTGGCCTATTTGCCTTCATGTTTCCAAGGGCCACTCCCCAGAGGAGACTCCTAAACACCCTGAAACCTTAGAGAGCTTTGCCCAGCCTCCTTGGCCATTTGACCCTGCTTCATACTTTATAGGCCATGTTAAGGAAAAAGATTGAAATTACAGTGGACCTGGAGCCAGGAAACCCCATGTTGAAGCCCTTGATTTGCCACTTTGAGGCTTAGAAAAATTAGAGTGCTACATAGTTATCGTTTCTGCATTTATCAGGGGAAGAGATTTGGAGTCAGGCAGCTTACTGTACTGGCTCCGCTCTTACTATGTGACATCTGATGGATGAGTCTCTCTTCGAAGCCTCGGCTTCCTCATTTGTGCAATCTCTCTAGGCTACCCCTGCTTCATGGGAGTATTGTTGTATTCAGTGTTAGCATGTTTTCAATATAATTAGTACAGTACCTGGCACAGAGTACATGGTTAATACATTTTCTTTATTATTATCGAATATTTTTATAATTCAAGACAAACTTAGAGGTATACAATAAAAATAGAGCTATAAGATGAAGAAATTAGTACTCAGAGAGGTAACTAATTTATTGTGATGTTTCATATATATCATTTCAATGCAGGACACCTAAGAAGCACTCAATATATATTTGTTCTATCCTTCTCCAGATATATGTCATTTTTAGTCCATGTATCACTTTTGAGATGCTTTGCTTTTTTAACATTTTTAGTCTGAATTTTTTTTTCCCTAAGGAGCTGAAATCCTCTCCCTGTGGATAAAAGTTATTTTTTCTGACTGGGAAGCTTCAGGCAAGATATTCATTGGCGAAAGTTACAAAGGAAGCAAGATGTGTGCTTGTTATGATCGTGAATCAGGCCTGGGGATCCAGGGCCCAGATTACTTGGCATCATGTCACACTCCAGGCCACTCATAGCTTTGTTATTGCTTTTGGTGATTCTTGTAGAGGGAATGAGTGAGTCCCTTGCACTGACACGCACATGTGCAAGCTCCTAATCACTCACATCCTCTCCTAATGACAGCTGATCATCGTGGAAAGCTGGAGGGCTCCAGGGAGAGGGGCTCCAGTGGAGTGCCTCTCTCGGCCCCAAAACAGACTATATGGACGCGGTGACTCACGGCTCAAAATGTAGTGAGAGATAACGCCAGGGTCTGCTTGGCTACTGCAGATGATCTTGGAAACTATGAAGCCTGAAGATAGATCACATTTCTGGGCTTTCAAAAGAACTCTGAAACCCTCTAAATTTAGATTGGGCTCTCTCCTGGGATCGGTCATCTTAGAGAGATGTCATTTCATTAGGAAAACCTGAATTGAAATCATCATAGCTCATCATGCTGTGAATTCATATGCCCCTGGCCCATGGAGCTCAGCCAGCAAGGCCTCCAGTTCACTTGCAGAGTTATTTTCCAGACCAAGCTCTAATCATCCTCAAACTGCTTAAAAGGTGCTAATAATTTTCAAGTGCCTCTCATGTCCTCTGTAGGCTTTCTGTTCAGTCTCTTGGTTAACCCTCTCTACACCATCACTAGGTAGACACTATTGTTCCCACTTTGCAATGAGTTTAAAAAGACTCTCATTGTTTAAGTGACTTGCCCAAGACCTCACAGGGGCAGAACCAGGAAGTGAACCTTGGTTGGTCTGACTCTAGAATCTCCTCCTTTTCACTCTATCGCATGGGACAGAGTTGTGGTCCTGCCTCCTTCCCAAGATTTCTGCACCCCATGTGTCATTGTTAGATCCTCTGCTAACTTTAGATTCCAGTAAGATAGCCCTGTTCCTGACACACTGTAGATACACAAACAAAATTTAACTGAAATGAAAATGTGATGAAGTGCGTGACATTGGGCAGGACCCAGGTTTTTCTATTCATAAAGTGAGGAGGTTGATGAGATGGTTGATGAGAGTTGTATGCTTTAGGGCAGTGGTTCTCAATACAGACTACACATTTGAATTTCTTGGGGAGCTTTTCAAAAACACCAATACCCACATATTTTTCTAGAAGTTTTGGTTTAATCAATTTGGAGAGGGTCCTAGATGTAGTATTTTATAAAAATGTACCAGTGATTCTAACAGGCCGGCAGGATTGAGAAGTACTGATTTAGAGTTCCCCAACCCTTCTATTCTTGCACCTTGTTGGTAAAAGTGATTGACTCATTGCTACAGTCAACTCTGTTCTATCTTACCACTGTCACATCTAATCTCACAAAATTTTCCATCTCCAGTATTTGGTCCAATCTTCCCTTTTTCTCTCTCTCCTGCTCATCCCTAACCCAAGATCATTATTCTTCTGCACTATCACAGTAGCCACTTTAGTGGGCACTGGTGGTTGTCCATTTATTATTCACGTCCCTCTTCTTGTTCTTAATTGAAACTTGATTTTTTGTAAGCATTAATCTCTCTTACACATGACTCAGGAGAAACTACCATCACCTCCAGTGGTCTAGTAACACCACTCTGGGCATGGGATATCCCCAGCAAATAGTATTAGATTTGGATTAGGCTTATGACCTAAGTAGCCTAATTAGATTGAAGGGAGGATAAGATTCTCCCTCTTTTCTGCTGCATATAAGCAAGGAAGCATATAGACTAGAATGCCTCTGGTAGCCGTGCTGTGACTATGAAGAGAAACAGCTTTAGGCTGACATGGATTGGAGATATGTGTGTATGTATAATTATATATATATGTGTGTGTGTGTGTGCACGCGTGTGTGTGTAGTGACTGTACTTAATATAGTTTCTGGCACATATTAGACATGCAATAAATATATGATGAACTATGAATGAATGAGTGAATGCGCTTATCTCACTGGAATCAAGTCAATCTGGGTCTCAGTATGCTCTAGAACAGGAGTTTGTTGGCAAACTTTTCCTGCAAAGGGACAGTTTGTATATATTTTAGGCTTTGCAGACCACAGAGTCTCTGTTGCAACTACTCAACTCTGTGGTTGTAAAGCAAAAGCAGCCATAGACAATATGCAAATGATGAGGAGGGCTGCATTCCAAAAAGACTTTATCTATAAAACTAGACAGTGGGCCTGATGTGGCCTATGGGCTGCATGTTTGCTGACCTTTGGTATAGGGGGGAAAGAAGTTTGGACCAGGTTAGGGATGACAATTCTTGGCCTACCTGCAGGCCCTCTGGCTCCCATGACAGACATCCCTAATCAATCATGCCCCCTTTTCATGCTGAGGCTGCATTCTCTCTCCCACACCTCAACCTAGCCCTAATCAATCAATCAGAGTTGGTATGCTGAATGCAATCCTTTGCCATCTTTATCGAGATAGTACTTTTAGTTTCTTACAAAAGCTGTGGTTTGGAGCTCACAGAACGGGGTTTTAGACCTGGGTTTTCCATTCACGTGCTGTGTCACATTATCCCAGATATTTTCTCTGTGTCTCAGACATTTCTAATGTTGAGTTTTGCTGACAGACCTGAGAGATTACCTAGGTAAAGATTCCATAAAAAGGCCTGCCTGGTTTTAACTCTCCCTGTTGCTTTGTGGTTAATTAGGCAAGGAACAATAATTTAAGCCAGTTGTGATAATAGAGCTTTGGAACCTAAGCTCGTGTTTTTTCCTTTGCACCTTGCTGAGTTATTAAGGGCAGACCATGGCTTTAGTGGCAGAGAGCGGCCAACATCCCATTCCAGAATGCCACCTTTCCTCCAATTGTGCCACTTGTCAAGCTTTCCAAATATGCCCCCTTTCACCCTCCATTTCAATGTTATTTTCATTCTGAGCCTCTTGACATGTTTAATTCCTTGGCTAAGCCCTTTCCCCATCCAAATGTCGCCACCCTTGTCATACAATTTATTTTCTACACACACATAAAATCAAACCTGAACATTTTTCTTTACTGTGAACTCTTGAGAAATAGCCTTTGGAGCAGCCATCCATCACAATGGCAATCACACTCCAAAAGCAAACTCTTTTTTATTTGTTTAGCACTTCCCATTCTAGATCAGATTTCATCGAGGGCAGCCTGTGTCAGCAGGAAAATGCCCTTTCCTTGGGTATGCATCTATCCCATAAATCAATCAAGGAAAGATAAAAACAATTGTGAAGCACCTAGTATGTGCTAGCCATGTTGCTATGTGTGTTTACATACCCAGTTAATCTTCAAAGCAGTCCTGAAAGGGAGGGAGATTAGTCCCCATCATGCTGATGAGAAAATAATTTCAGGGAGGTTAAATGGTAAGAGAGGAGTTTGGAATAGGTTTTCTGAATCTTAGTTGTATCAGGGTTCTCCAGAGATACAGAGTCAATAGTATATGTGTGTGGATATGTATATATATGTGTATACATATATACACACACAAACATATATATACACATATATATACATATATATTCATGTGTGCGTGTATACATTGCATGCATTTTCTCTATCAATCAGATTTATTTTAAGGAATTGGCTCATGCAGTTATGGGGGCTGGTAAGTCCAAAATCTGCAGGGCAGGCTGGAAGTCCGGAAATTCAGCTATGAGTTGATGTGGTAATCTTGAGTCTCAAATCCATGGGACAGGACAGCAGCCTGGTAACTCAGGGGGAGTTTCTGTATTACAGAAAGTTGGCACATAAAATTAACTATTAAAATAGTCTTTTTCCCCCCTATTTCTCATACTTTCTCAGACTTAGGTGAGCTCTAAAGGAAAGCTTTCTTAAGTTCTCTTAGAGTCAGTTGCTGATTTAGAGTGCACGTAAAGACTGGCATAGGGGCTGGGACTTAGGAGACTCCTGAGTAATGAATGTGGCAGACAGGATCCATCTATGGAGGATTTTTGGTTAGGATCTTTCTTAAAGGACTGGATCTTTAGCGCTCTTAGGAAAAGGTCTGAGCATCCAGCATGGCTCCTAAGTCCCTTCACTGTAGGGCCTTTGCCTATTTGTGCAGCATCCCGATGATCACTCCTCTGCATTCTCAATGCTCCCACTGCAGAGACATGTCATGTTTTAATAGCCAATGCTCTTTCTTACCTCTGTGCTTTCTCACTCATTTCCTCTGACGGGAACACACTCTTCCCTCCTCTGCTCCTGACCATTCTCACATGAGTAACTCTGAGATGATCCCTCAGGTCTCAGCTTGATTGCCATTTTCTTGGGAACCTGCCCAAGTCTGCAGTGGGGGCCCTAATCTGCATGTTTTGACCATAGTGCTTATTACACTGCCTGCTTAGCTGTGAGTTCCATGTGGGCAGGGTTGATGTCTTATTTCCTTAGGCATCCAGTGCCCAGGGTAATAGCTGGCACATGGTAGACATATAATAAATATTTGTTCAGTATCAAGTGATGAGAAGAATGCAATCTTTTCCCTTTCTCTTTTTTACAGTGTTTATAAGGCTTTTGTTCCCTCTCAAGTAAATTACTATCTGAATGTAAGTTCCTCTAAACACCTATCATTGTATCATAAATGTTTCTTAGGAGGAACAATTAAAAGTGCCAAGAGGTGACACTCTTCTCAGTGGAATTCATGGCAACCACACAATTTGCTCTCTTCCTAGGGCCAGGATCTGGTGAGCTGGCTTGAGCCCAAGTCATGAAGGATTAGTTGAATGTGGAATCATTGCCCCATGGATGTACCCTAAAGCTGCTCCAAGAAGTGACAGGAAGATGACAGGGATGTGTATTCAAAATTACTTTGAGGTGGTCTCAGTCCTATGTACTGTCCCCAGGAGCCCTGCGGACACATGAGCATCTAACATGGAGACAATGATGTATATGTGTTTAGTCTGAAATTGTCCAGCATGGCTGCCTCACTACAGAGTACAGCTGCCTTGAAAAGAAGATAGATGGGGTGTTCCTCATTGTGGCAGGCCAGTTTTTCCTTCCTTTGTCTATTTGCCAAGGCTGCAGGTCTGGTCACCATCTTATGGGATTTCTATTTTGCTCTTCTCTAAAAGTGAGAGATAGGTCCTTTGCATTGAAAACCTTAAGGAATTCAATTCAAATCCATATATTTCAGCATTTCTAGAATATTTTAAATATATTTAAACATAATATATTTAAATATACATTAGTTAGACACTGAATTATGCACTAGGAAGGTAATTATGAGTAAGGAGTTGTGACCTTGCCCTCCGGGAGCTTACAGTCTAGTGAGTATCTAGATGCCCAGAGAAGAAAATGCAGAAATGGAGGACTTCCCCTCTTTCCTGTCCCCCAGCAGCAGGTATGGTGTGTGGAGCACTGACTCCATGCCAGTCACTTAGCTGTGTATTTTACAGCTGTCTTCTCATTTCCTCTTCACAACAGTCCTCTGAAGTAGGTATTATTATGATTATCTGGTAAGGAAACAGCCTGAGTCCTTATAATTTGCTTAACAGCTTAAAGTCAGGAAACAGTAGGATAGATTGGTACTAAGGTCAATTGGCCTTAAAGCCAAGCTAATTCTTCATCACAGTGCCCTGTTTCTATCTAGTATCAGAAGCTTCACATTGAGTCTGTTTGATTATTCCTTTATCTAGGTGTTATAATCAAGGTGAAGACAGATCACAGAGGAAGCACAAAGGAAAAGTCATTTGGGCTGGGCTTCAGAGAATATGTAGCAATCCATCCTGAGGAAGACTTGGGGAGGGAATTCCAGACAAGGGCACAGGGCTGCCCTGGAATGTATGAAGGCTGCAGGGGTCAAGAGGTGGAGGGATGGAAGGAGAGGTGGGGAAAGAAGCTATCAAGGCAGAGTGAGACCAGGTTGTAAAGAGGAATCTTGACTGTTTCCTTAGGAGATGGAAGCCGTTGGTTGTGTTTAAGTAGTAGAGTGACAGAATCAGAGTAGAAAGAACAAACCCAAGAGGCAGTACATAGAATTGGCCAGTAGGGTATGACAGAGAGCACAAGGCTGGGAGAACATTAGGAAGGTTGTAAATCATGATTCTATGTTGTGGACCTATTGTATCAGTCAGTCTGACATGTTCCATTGGGAACTGGTAGTAGTTACTGGTTTTTTAGGTAGAAATAATTGTCCTACATCTCTCTTGTAATTACAGACTCAGGCCAATATCAGATTTTTTCAGCTATGAGGCAATAAAATAAATCACTAATTTATATAATGTATGATTTATATAATATATAATGTATAATTTACATAATAATGATGATGTAGGAGACACTGGGATGCATGGCTCAGACCTCTGCTCTGTTCTAAAGAGGAGAGCAACTGAAGTTATTCCTCCAGTTGGTGAGAGGGCTGCCAGCAGACAACCCTCAACTCTTAGTCCCCTTTGAGGATTGTAGCAGTTGAAGAGCGCTGCTTCTCCCAAGATCACACCCCTTTTCTGGGACAGCCCATGTCTAGTGACTAAACTTTGCGGAGGTATAAATGCCTGACCCCTTATCTTCATTTAGGGCAACTCTTAAAGACCATTCGGCTTCAGAGCTTTCTTTAATGTTGGCTGAACATGTGTTGAGGCTGCACTGAAATTTATTTCTTCCTCTGCCTGACTCTGCTTCCTACCCTTCCCAGTCTCATCTGAGCATCCCGAAAGCACTCTCTAATATAGTTTCTGCTTGAACATCTCCATCTCAGCCTGCTTTTTTGGGGACCTATTCAATGGCAAATAATTGTAGCTAATGTTTGTGCCTGACAGTATATGAGAGAGTTTATATACAGCCTCATTTTATTCTCACAATAAACATGGGTAGTATGTTGCCTGTAATAATATTACTATACTCTGGCATAGGCACCAAAGAATTTTCCTATGATCTTAGGTGATTTTAATCCTTCCCGAAAGAAAGCAAGACAGGGATTCCTAACTCCTTTAGACATATTTGAAACTGAGGCCCACAGAGAAATAATTTCCCTATAATCACAAATCTAGCAAGGCTGCAGAATTGTCTTTCTGGTCAATTTCACTACCTATAGATATTCCCGTTTCTTTTCATGCCTTTTAATATATTAAGATCCTAGGCAGACCGGGCCAAGGATTTCTGTCCCCTGGTCTGAAAGCTAGACATTTATCACTTAGCACCCACCTTTTAAACTGTCATTCAAAACTTGTGGCCTAAGACAGAATGGAAAGGAATGACTCTTAGACAATCTCAGTGGGAAGAAGGCCCTTAGCCTCTAACCCAGGGGTTTTCAAACTATTTTCTACCCATATGCCCCAGGGGCTCTAGAGAGAAAAGAAAAGGGAGAGACCAAGAGAAGAATAGGGGATAAGGCCTGAGAAGGAAAGAAGAAAATAGGCTAGAGAGAGAGAAGAGAGGAGTGGAAGAGAGAGGAAGGGAAGGAAGAGAAGAAGAGGGAAGGGAGCAAGAGGTTAGCCTACAGCTCTAGGAAATGAACAATGGCAACTTTCCTGCCCATGAGCCAGTGTGTTATTTGGGGCTTTGAACTCCTCAGGACAGTATGCTTTATCATCTGGAATAATAAACACAGACCTGGTGGCCCAAGGAGCGGGCAGGCCATGGGCTGGGGGTGCAGCTCTGTGATCTGCCAACAACGGGCAGCCTGCTGTCTGTGTCGGCACAGAGGAGCCTGCCCGGCTGGGTGTCCAGGAGACACTGGGGCCAGGAGGGCTCCCAGCTGGTGCTGAGTGAGCTTTTCAAAGTCAACAAGGTCTCCAGGGCCAGTGGGACCCTCCCGTTGGTGGTAACTCTGACACTATGTGGGCCCTGGAAGGAGCTTGGTATTTTTAGCTCTCCAGTTGCTTTGAAAGAAAGAAACAGAGCCACAGTGTGCAATTTATTATTTTTTAGGACATAATAGCTAACAGCTCCAAAAACATTCTGGATATGCTCCACAGCTCATCAACGAGCACATCACCAAAGAATGAGGAAAGGATAAACACCATATGTATCAGAGTGCTGCTGGTGTGCATGGTGTCGAGCAACCAGATCTTCCATTGTCTCTCCTAGGGACCGAGGACAGTCACTCCCCTGTTGGATCCTCTGTAGGTCAACATCCTCCCTGTTCCTGTCATGAAAACCATTCTGTTTTGATCAGACCGAAGATGAAGTCCTAATTGCCTAGGCCACTAAGAGGTCATTGGAAATCCCATGGGGTTGGAAGTGAGTTCAGGACTTGAGCTGTTAACCCGCTTGCTGTGGCCCTGGACACTTCACATGGCTACCATGAGCCCAAGTAAAGCTCAGAAGTCTCTTTGAGCTTTAGCATTAAACAAATCTTCAAAAGGACAACTGTAGAGAAGTTCTGAGAGGCCAAATGGATCCCTGTGCTCAGTACAAAATAAACAAGATAAATGTTGAATGAATGAATGAACAGGAGGTACCTCAGTAGGTGGTAGTGGCCCACATTAACCCTCAAGGGTAGAGGACATTGTTGCCTATGGCTGGCAGCTTTGTAATCTCTAACACTCCCTGGAAGGTAAAGAAGCTTTTATTTGTGGTGGTAAGCAGAGGCAGGGAGGGATAGGGCCAGGAGCTGGTAGCTGAGCAGAAGGTAGGCTCCTGGGGAACGCAGTACTCCTTGGGGGAACTGACCAGAAGGTTCATGTGTGAGGCAGCACTTGCCCTGCAATGGGAAGAATTTTGACCCAGGATACAGAAGACCAAGGTTTACCATCTATTTTCTATGGAGACCCTGGGCAGATCTCTCCTCTCCCAGAAGCACAGCCCATTCTGTTGTTGACTCTACCTGAGTCTCTCTGCTGCAGAGTCCCAGGGCTGCCTGGTGCAGACTCTCTTCCTCTCTCTCTCCAGGATGATCCTTCCAGCCCTGGAATTGTTCTCACTGCCCTTTCTGCCTTTCCCTTCTCCTTTCTATCTTCTCTACTGCCTCCTTGAAAGTGATCTTCTGACTTGAAGATCAGATGTGGCCACTTTCTGGTGTATACACATCAGTGGTCCCTATGTCTCCAGGCTGAAGTCCAAGCTTATTCACCTGGCATTGAGGGCTCTCTGAGGTCTGGTCACTGCTCTCTGTTCCAAGGCCAGTGCCTCTGCTCTTCTGCAGGCACCTTAGGTGGCAGACACATTGCTGGAAGGCCCCACACTTCTCAAATGTGTACACCTTTGTATGCACTGTTCCTTCTGCACATACCCTTCTAAAACTCATCTCAAGGTTCCACCTTGTTTGGAGCATGGAGCTTGGGGAAGACTCAAAGAGCAAATCCCTCTCTGTGAACACAGCGCCATTATGGCCTTCCTGTTGCCTGCAATACTCTATTTTGGGAGACAGGTCAAAAGAAATCCCCATGAGAACCAGGTTATTATGGTCATGGGTGCATCCGTGGCTATCACGGTTGTTAGTACTTGGCAGTTCTCAGGAGATGATCAATTTGTGAATGTATCTATAGAATCGGGATAAAGAGCGCTTCTCTTTCTACTTTACAGGGTTATAGGGAGAATCCAAAGAATGCCAAAACATTTTATAAATGGTAGAAGTTGTGCACACTAGAGGGGTTGTCATTATAATGATCCGATTCTAGAACAGAAAATAGAGGTACAGGGCACCTAGGCAGAATTTCTTCCTTTATTCCTCTCTATCCTTCCTCCTTTTCTCCCTCCTCCTTTCCCTGTCCTCTATCTTCCCCTTCCTGAACACCTACAGAAGTATCCACCATTGCCCAAAGGCCTAAGGAAATGCTAAATAACAAGACAGGCAAGATCCCCCTGCCCCCATTGAGCATATTTTCTATCGGAGAAACAAATAAAGCAAGCAAACAAATAAACATGGTTTGTATTATTGAGATAAGCAATATGCATGGGCAGCAGGGTATGGTGAGAACAGAAGGCCCTCAGAACTAGGTAGCTATGCTTCCAGTCGGGGCTGGCCACCCTGAGCCATGAGACAGGGAGGCTCAGAGACATTTGCAGCTTTCTGTCTGTTCCTCTGCTGGTTTGGAATGAGGATGCCCATCTCTATGGATAATTGTGAGGCCTAAATAAAATGAAAAGACTGGTTTATGGCTTCCTAGGAACTGATCTCCTGGGGAAAGAACGTATTGGGTCCCCACCAGCTCCCAACAATAAAGGGGCTTCTGTGGTTTCCTATGGGGAAAAGATGAGCAACCAGGCTTTGTGTGGCAAAAGTGCAGAGTTCTCCCTCCCAGTCGAGGACCAAGCCACACCAGGGAAACTGCTTTTCTTTCATATTTTCTGTGTGGATTTCTAGAACTTTGCCCAGGTCTTGCACCATGGCTTGCTGTGGTTAGCTGTGATGGAGCCCTGACTTCCAGCTAGTTCCTGACTCTAGGTCTAATCAGAAGTGGGTGACATGGCTGACCTGCAGCCAGTCACTTCCCCTTTCTGGGCCTGTTTTTCATCTGTAAAAAAAAAGGGGGTTGAATTTTTAAAAAATCACCCTTCAATATCTTCTAGCATTGACATTCTCTAATTGTGGCCTGGGAATAATTTTTCTATGAGAATACTTGGCCTCTACAACTAATGAGCTCCAATTAGCTTTACTGATCTCTATTAACTGAAGTTTCTAAGATGAAACAAGGAGGCCTTGTGTACTTTATCTCTTTGCAGAGCAGATAATATACTTGGTATCTTCAAGGTTATGGAAACATGACATTCCTGCCATAAGGTCTTGGTAGAGGTCAGCTGGAAAAAAAACAGAATTGGTTCAGATGTATCAGTGATCACAATAGATTGTATTCTATTTTGTAGCAATGGCCTTGGTGTGTGGTCATGTCCAAGTGTGTCTTTGCATTTGTTTACTCCAGAATCTGGATAAAAGTTCAAAGCCTCCTATAGACTTCACAGTACAAGATATCTCCCATCATTCTATCTCTTTGCCCTATAGGGTTGGAGGTTATTTTTTGTTCATTTTCTTTCATAATATATTCATTAATTACTGGTATGCCTCAAAAACTGCACATATGTTACTAGCAATCTTTACACCCTCCTTGAGAAATGTGTACTATTCTTCTTGTTTTACAAGTTGAAGAAACTGATATGCAGGGAGATTCAGTACCCAGCTTAAGGTTGTACAGCTAGGGGACAGCTGTGCTGTGGCCAACTCTTGTAGGTCTAATGCCAAAGACCATAAGTCTTCAATTAGCAACCCCCTCTTGCTAATTGGATTGTCACTTGAGAGTGAGGCAGTAAACTTATGATCTCAGAGCAGGCTAATCAATCTATGAGGTCCATCTGTCAAACTCAGATTTATTCAGCCAATTGCTAGGACATGGTTTCAAACTTCAAAGTGTATAGGAGTCACCTAGGATGATCTTCACATTTAGAGTCTCTTACTCAACACTCAGCAATTCTGCATTTTTGGGATACAAATTGTCTGGAACCATACACAGAAAAACAAAGCACTCTTGGGGACTGGGGGTCCAGTTTAGTGCTCAAGTCCTCAGAATTATCTCTCCTGCCTTCTGGGGGTACACTATAGACACATTCATAACAAAACAAAAAATAAAATTCCAAGTTTGTTAATGTCTGGGCAATCATATAATACCTCACTGCAAAACAGTGGTAAAGGATGTATTGGAGAAAGTGGTGCAAACTGAAACATGCCTTCCTTCCCATCCTGGACTTAGAATTGAGTCTACAATTTCAGATCTACAAAGAAAGATATGTGGTTTAGTGAAGCCAATCCCAGGTTTACTTACCTAAACAGCCACAAGAATGAGGATGTCTTGCCTGATCCTTTCACCTTAACAAAGGTCACATGGGAGAATAGTTGAGGGATGTCTCCCTGGCAGATGCTTACTGTAGGCAGACAGGAAATGGACAATAGTTCAGCATGCTTGGACCCAAAAGGGCGGGGGGGAAGAGCCTCCTGTTCCTCCTCATGCCTCAGGAAGCACAATAGGATGTGTTCACAGCTGCACACTGCATTTCCATGGTGTGTCATTACCCACTCACAGTTCAGGGTACGGCACTGTCAGGGTCTATCCAACCAGGTGGACAATTCCTCCTCCTCTGGGAAGAAACTGGTAAGGGGCAGAGGCACTGAGTACAAGGATAAGAGTTGTTCTCTCCTTCATAGGCCAAGGCTGCAGTGTGAGGTGAGGGATGACAGGGGCGTATTCCCGCCCCTCAACATCTTCCTTTATTGAGAATCAGCTCTGTGCCAACAGAGAACTCTGGGCCAACAGAGAAGTCAAAGAAGAGTTCTTTTTCTCCTAGAGAAGGCATCATCCACTCCATTAATATGAGAACCTACTTCACCAAGGCACTGGCCTGGTGAACAAGACCGTCCTCATGAGGCTGGCATTCTAGATGGGGAGTCAGCCAGAACCTCTACCAAGTAAGTAGGGAAACAAAGAAAATAAAGAGCAATTATGATAAGTGTAATGAAGTTCACAAGTGAGGGGCAGAGACAGAATAATGGTGGGAGAAACCACCGTACACAGGGATGGTCAGGGAAAGTCTCTCTGAGGAGGTAACATAAATAATACATGTTATAAAATTTAAATTATAATACAGTGTTGAAAATATTCTAGGAGCAGAGAGGAGAAAATAGTTAACTCTCTGGCTGGGAAACTTAAGACAATTGAAGCAACTTGCTCAAAGCCATGCAGTGGGTCACAGGCAAACCCAGAATAGAATCTAGGGCCAGAAATGTTTCTTTTACTTCAAGCCTTTATCTTGCTCCTTTTATTCTTGTGTCTTGGATCACTTCCTTTGGATTAGATCGCCTGGTGGGGGAGAGTTGTCTTCAAAGAACTAGTCTTTATGTCTTGGAAGAAAAATCAAAGGTCATCGTAAAGAAAACATGCGTCATGATAAAAGTCTCTTCAAAAAAGACAATGAAAAATTTAAATTATACTGTGAATTTAAGCTTCCAGCACTCCTTGATTATCAATGGGTTTATCTACTCTATAGACTTATTATAAGATAAGAAAATAGATGGAAAACACTTTATAGATTATAAAGTGACATACACATGCTAGAATTGATCAGATGCCTGACACACACGGCATGAACATTTACTGTTTTATCTTTAGAAAACCTTTATTCTCATCCCCTCTTTCCTCTGAGAATTAGAAACAAAAGGGACTTGGTTTAGAAGTGGTGAGAGCTCCTACAAAATGCTCTCTTCCCATCCTCCTTTTATCTTTCCCAGGGACAATCGCAGCTGCCAGAAATGTGTCACTTTAAGCAGTCTTCCGCATTTCATGGAACATCTTATTTGGATAAAACTTAAATTATTACACCAGTCTTTGCACACTTTTTTCCCTTCTCTTTTCCAAAAACTGCTGTGACTAAGCTTGACAAACTATTGATTTCTACCAAAGCAATTTCAAAGCCTGTTAGATGTCAGAGACCAAAAGGATGAGAAGAGCTGAAAGCACTGATGAAATTCAGACGTTTCTTAGGATTTCAGACCCACAGCTTCCTTCCTCCAGGCAGTCTTCCCAGGTTGGCTAGCAGCTAATGGGGATTTACTCACTACCAGCCACCTGAGCATGGAACTCATGTAGTTTCTTTCTTTTCTTTTTTAATTTTTTTTTTTTTTTGCTTTTATCCTCCCAGTCAATGACAAACCTATATTCTGGGCATTGAGGTTACAATGATGAGTCCTGTGAATAAGCTTTCAAGGCATAGTAGACATAAACAAGTAAATAGTAGACATAAACAAGTAAATAGTAGACATAAACAAGTAAATGATAATGGTGGTGTGAAGTGAGATGTTGTAGGAACACGGAGTGGGAGAGATGATTTCCTACTGGAAAGATGAAGGAAGAGTAGATTTTAATTCTGGATATTGGAGAAGGTGGTATGTGAGCTAGTCTTTAAAAAATAAGGATCTTATAAGTAGAGCTAGGGAAGCCAATGAATGTGGGAATGGGGAAATTTACATCATAAAAAAAGTAGTTGCTGGTACATTTCAGGTAAAGCAAAAGCAAGAACTAAAGAATAAAACAATCTTTTGGGGAGAAAAATAACCCTGTTTGCCTGGCACATACTATGCATGACAAGAAAACTGAATAAATACACTATAATGAAGAAAGCATTTGAATTTGGTGAGAGCCTGAATTCAAAATTAGGTCCATATTACCCCGTTTACTAACTGTGTAATCTTAAACATCTCTACCTGCATTTTGTGTTCTTAATTATGAAGATAATCATGCTTGTCATTCAGAGTGGTGAAGATTTTATGCTCTAATTTATATGAAGGTGTTTAGAAGGGTGCTCAGCTCAAATTAGCTGCTCAGTACTTTTGAGAGCCTTGTCGGGCCCTCAGCAGAAGGCTAGAAGCTATTAAGGATGGAAACCCAAGCAAGGCTGATCTTAGTCAGCCTTCGTATCACAATGTGGGTAGTATGCCTAACCTTGTCAACTGTGTGTTCTTGGGTATGTATATTAATCTCCCCGAGCCTCCATTTCCTTGTCTAGATTTGGGGGTTGTTGATCAGGAAGGGACACTCTCCTCTATTCTTCCCACATTCCCACCTTGAACCACAGAGGGAAGAACTTACATTCTACTCCCCTCTCAGTGCTAAATGGAACACCTATAGACTTTCAGATCCTTACACACTTCTCTTTAAGAGAAAAGGAGTATCTAACGTGATATGTACCAGAATATCTAAAGTGATAGGTACCAATGAAAGTCAAACACTAACCCCTTCCTATTAGATGAACTCACTGCTTTGGACAACAATCCCAATCTTTTGTTCTGTGTTCCAGCTTTTCCTCTTGTAACTGGACAGCTGCTGGTCAGACTGGTACATTATGGGGAAAGTGTAGGTCATACCACTTTCAGATGGAAACCTAAGCCATGTTCTCTAACAGAGTTAACCCATAACTCTGTAATTTTGAGTTATAGGGACAATAGGTTACCAAAATGGCCACAAATTTTTGTGCCTGCTCTCATTCAGAGGTGGACTTCATTACTCTACCCCTGTAATCTGAACTGGCTTTGTGTCTTGCTTTGGCCAAACAGAGAAGCAGAAGTGATTATATGAGTCCTGAGCCTGGGCCTCAAGAGGTTTTACCTGCTCCCTTTGTTCTTTTGAAACTCTGACCTTCATGTGAACAGCCCAGGCTAACCTCCCGAAGGGAGACCACATGGAGAGAGGCCCAGTTATCTTAGCCACCCTAGCCAAGGCCATCCTAGAATGGGATGGTTTACACATGAGGTGGTGAATATGTATCAATAGGCTCAACCAAGATCAGCTGAGCTGAGCCCAAATCCACAGAACTTCCCCGCTGACCTAAAGATTTGTGAGCAATAACAGATAGTTAATTGCTTTCAGCCTCTACATTGTGGGGTGATTTGTTATGTAGCAAAAACTGCCTGATACACATTATAATGACACATCTCAAAGGTGGTGCTTGTTTCCCACTTGGCTGGTAATCTTCATGTGATGAGCCATTTTTGCTGCAGAAGGAAACAGGTATTGAGTACTTGGAACCACTGCAGGAATGACAGCTTCCTCATAAGGTTGCCAGCAATCCTAAGAGGGCTACCAGGTATGGCCACCCAAGTTATGAACAGCACTATTCTAGGAGGTTCTTGAACATCTGTAAAGTAATATATACTCTATGAGATAAATGGTGCCCCCTGGATTTGTGCAATATGAGTGGCCCTTAGGATTAAGCAACATAATATATGTAAAGTCTCTGGCATATAGTTGATGTGAAATAAACATTTTTATAATAATTTCTTGGTATAGAAATATTTTATTCTGTTGAACTTTATAATTAATACTTAATTATCAAATAAACTTCCATTTTCTCATCAGAGAAGTGTCTGGAGAGTGATAATAGTGGCGGTCGTGGATCACATGATCTATAAGGTTCTTTCTAGCATGGCTACTCTGTGATTCATGGGCGAACACAAATCTTCTCATAAAAAGAAGCCAAAACACATGGCCCAAGCAAGTTCCTTCGGTGAAGTTAGGGGCATGGCCCCAGAAGCACAGCACGGCAGGCCATCCATCAGGCGGCCACGTCAGCAGCCTGAGACGCAGCCCATAAAGCTGCCAAAACTGCCCTTAGCAATGCCCCAATCAAAGAGACACAAGAGCAAGGCCCCAGTGCCAGGACACCCCTGCTTGGCAGGAAAGAGACTGTGCTGTGTTCTGAACAGGAATCTAAACAGTTAATGGGCCACAGAAGCCACAAATCAATCCTTTGGTTTAAGATCAAAAGCAAGCAGCCTAGGGAACTGGAAAATTGATGCAACGCCTTTTTCCTGTCCCCTTCTCTGCCTCCCACCCAGCTTCTGAATGTTTACACCAGACCTAAAGCTCCCAGGGACAATTCTCAAGCAGAATTTTGCTTACTGCAAATGGGGCTTTGGAAAGGATACTGAGGCTAGGGGAAGCTCAGTTTCAGTCCTGGGTTTGCTACTCACCAGCAGTGTGACCTTGGACACTGATGTGTGAGCCTCACCCCAGAAACTCTTATTCAAGCAATCTGGGCTGGGGTCTGGTCGTTAGTATTTACCAATCCCTCAAGTGATTCTCTGTTATAACCAGGGTTGAGAACCACTCCACCATTCTAGGTTTTGGGTCCCTTGCCTGTAAAATGGGGACAGTAAGACTGACTTTGCAATGTTGCTGCGAGAACCAATACAGATGTATAATAGATGTATTGCCATCTGGCACAGCTACTTGTCTGGAAGGATCTTACGCCTTGAGCTAGATACACATAGGTCTCAGGAAGGCATCTATGTTCACACTCAATCAGCTACATTCAATATCAGAAATGTCTTGGCTTTGCAGGATAGGAGTCTGTGTGGGCAGAACCAAGTGGGGCCTGAGGAATGGAGTGGGATGCATTCATGATGTCCTGATCTCAGGAAATACGTCCCCCTAGTCACCAAGGAGCTGGGTCCATTTGTTCCCATGTTCCCTTTTTGAGTGGTAACCCAGTGGCACTTGAGAGTAGTTAATATTGTCCTACCAAAGAATGAAGAAACAATGTTGCCCCACTTATCCAGCCACTGTTGGGACCTGGTCAGTGTGGGAGGTGGGAGGAGGTCAACAGAACACACAGCTGCATCCTATTTCCCTTTATTCCATGATTTATTTGGGCACACCAGCCTGCATTCAGTCAACAAGCATTCCCATGGGGCTGACTCTGTGTTGGGTGCCCAGGATACAGAGTTTATTTAGACCTCATCCTTGCCTTCGAGCTGTTCACAGCACAAAGGAGGCAAATCCAGTTAGCAGTGTTAAGGGTCCCATGAGCAGTCTTCCTGTTAGTGGTAAGTTGCTCAGAGAAGGGTGATGTTGGTGCAGGTGAGGAAACTTGAGGAAAAGTCTGTTTTCCCCAAAGCACATTTCAAATGTGCTCATACACTTTTAGTGGACTCCTGTCCCCAGCTGCAGAATAAGAGGCAGATTCCTTAGCCAGGTATTCACAGTCGTCCTTGGCCTGACCCCTCCCCTTTGCAGCCTTATTTCCCTCTATATTCCTTCTTGTACTTTGGCTCGACCCACATGTAACTATTTGACATTGTTCTGACGCACTATGTTCTTCCACACGTCTGCCCTTGCACAAGCCTGAAATGCTTTTCTTTCTCCGTACTCTCAATCTCATTTTCTTGTCATGTTGAACTATATTGGCCATCCACTCAATTGTCCCTTTTATGTCTGTGCATAAATTATTTCCTTTGTTGGGAATAACCTTCCTCTTGTCTTTTGTCAGGAGAAATACCTTCTAATCTTTCAAAAACAGATTCAAATGTTACCTCTTCTGGTGAGCCTTCTGGTCTCCCCAATAATGGTGGCTTCCTCCTCTGGGCTCCATTTGCTCTTTCGAGTATCTCTACCTCAATTATGGCACCAGTGTAGGTGAGAAAATAAATGGAAATAAGCAGTGGGTCTTTGCTCTCTTGGGAAACCCAGGTATTAAAGTTTGTTTTCTACTCCTCTGTTTAGGGTTACCAGCAAGTGGCTAGTAACTTGAATGGATTTATCTTCATATTGATCTTACCTTTCCCTGGATTTGGCATCTAGCTGTTTCCTGGAATTAGATTTCATTTCCACGCAAAACAGAAAATCTCTTGCAATTATATTTTTGACTTTGCAATGTTTTATGCCAATTTTTGAGTTAAAAGGCTTGAAGACCGAGGGATCAAATGCACATGAGGTCAACCTGCAGAAGTTGGGGAGAAGAGCCAAGGGCGGTCCATGGTCAAGTTCTTGGACTCTGAAATTAGGTCAGAAAATTGGCTTTCAGTTTTATTATTCAGTCCCACTCCCAGGCCACAAGAAACTTAGATTTTTTTTCTCATTTATTTTTATAACTAACAATATCAAATTTTTGAGAACTCAATTAATTTTCTGTTAACCTTGCAATCTCAAAGTACAATGGAATGGAAAGAGCACTAGGTTCTAGTTGCCTAACATGACCATGAGTTCCTGTTTTATAGACTTGTATCTTGAACTATAAAATGAAGAAATTAGTCTCCAAGATCTCTTCTAGCTTGAATATCTTAATTCACTTATTTGCTGTGTGTGTCATCCTACAGCAGAATTTATCATACTATTCATTTTTTTTCTATTAAGCACCAGCCACGGGCCCTGTGTCTTCCTCTTGCCCTCTATCATCTGCCAGTTAGCATTACCCAGATTTGTTGACTTTTTACAAGACAATTCCAGGCAATTTGACATTCAAGGTCTTATGCAATTTGCTTCCACCTGACATTTTCCAAGTACTACTTCCCTCAATCACAGGTCCAGTATTTCCCAAAATGCCATATACATTCAAGCCTTTATGTTTTGGTAGATGCTATTTTCTCTGTCTCTAATGCCTTTTCTGATACCAGCATTTGGTGAATCCTATGCATGCTGTCCCTAGATACAAGACCATAAGGAGTCCTTATTTGGAATTTCAAGTGCATCAAGTTACTTGTTCTGCTTATCCCTTTCCTGCCTTGACCTGTTTTTGATATTCGGACTCTGCTCACCTTCCTAAAAAATTAGCCTTAGTGTGTGTTTCTGATACCACATTTTGGTAACTTTTTTGGGGGGGAATCCAGTTAAATCCAAGCCTAAAGTCTTTTTTTGGCTCTTCCCCTAATCTTAGAATCCGTACCTTAATCACTGTTCCCCCATCCATTTAACAGATCTCCCTCCAGCTGATTGAGAGATGTGGCTAAAAGACAACTCAGTCTGTCCCTGGCTCCCTTTTTCTACTGCTGGACATTTGGAGGTGCTTCTCTTCTGCTAGGACTTTCTCCTATTGCCACTGACTGACTCCAGCCCCAGCACTACCCCATCCTTTCCACTCTGGGAATGGACATGTGTCTGATGGACCCGAGTCTCACCCACATCCTGCTGAGGCCAGGAACCAGCTCACCTAGTCATGTGCAGTAATGAAGGCACTTCTGAGAGCTTTAGATTTTAGGAAGCTACATCTTATAGTCTTATACAAAGGACCAGAAACTTTAAATTTAAACTTTCTAGTGTGTTTTAAGCCATCACCTTTTTAAAGTTTTAAAGAACAGTATATCCTTGGTCAGAAACAGAACTTCTTGTTAGAATATATTTTTTTAAAAAAATGAGCCTTGTGGTCAGATGGATATTACTCCAAATACTGATGCCACACATTTGTTTCTGTATTACCTTGGATAAGTTACCTTATCTCTCTGAGCACCAGTATCCTCATCTGGGACACTGAGGAATCAATGATGGCCCAGTGACAGAGGTAACGTCACCATCATTTGACTGAGGATTTAATCTAATTAAATCCAAGCCTAAAGTCTTTTCTTGCTTCTTCCCCTAATCTTAGAATCCTAACCTTAATCACTGCTCCCCCATCCATTTAAAAGATCTCCCTCTAGCTGATTGAGAGATGTGGCTAAAAGACAACTCTTAGTCTGTCCCTGGCTCCCTTTTTCTACTGCTAGACCTTTGGAGGTGTTTCCCTTCTGCTAGGACTTTCTCCTATTGCCACTGACTGACTCCAGCCCCAGCACTGCCCTATCCTTTCCCCTCTGGGAATGGACACGTGTTATACTGACATCAATGATCTCAGTGATTTATAAAGATCCAGCACAGGGCCACACACCATCAGTGACCCCCTTCATGCCCACATTGACTCCCTTGCATTCTTTTGATAAGAGTCTTTTCTTGGAATCAAACCCAGGAGCAGTTTCCATTTGCTCCCGTATTTCCTGTTTGAGTGGTAACCCAGTTGCACTTGATAATAGTTAATATTGTCCTACCTAAGAATCAATGAAGAAACAATTTTGCCCCATTTACCCAGCCACTGTTGGAACCTGGTTAGTGTGGGAGGTAGGAGGAGGTCGATGGAGCACACAGCTGCATCCTATTTCCTTTTATTCCATGACTTATTTGGGCATACCAGCCTGCATTTAGCCAACAAGTATTCTATTCTGGTAAAGGACTTCAAGTTTAAGGACTGCCTATTGGTTAGTAGGAGCCAGACCAAAGTGGATTCTTGAATGTCAATCAGAAGCATTGAGATCTTTGAATTTTCACCTTCTTATTGCCCATGATACTTATAGTCACAGAGCCGCCTCAATTTGTGTGCATAGCAATCTAGTTTCAGCATGCTGTCACTGAAACTTCTAACCACAGGGATCTTGGGAGACCTCTGCCTGAACTTCTGTGGGTAGAAAAGGAAGATAGAGCTCAGAGAGCAGTTGTTTATGAAGGTCTTATGGCAAACAAATCTGTACTATCAGGATTTCAAGAAGATTTTATATGATTTATTTAAATTCTAAGGGGTGTGCTTGTGTGTGGGCAGTTACTGTGATTGTAGCTGCTACTGCAGCTACTACTATTACTGCTATTACTGTTATTACTCTTATTGATAATGTTAATATTAATGACAATTGAGAAGTATTAATGTAGTGGTTAAGGTGATGGTCTTTGGAGCTGGAATGCCTATTTCAAAGCCAAGCTCAGTTTTCTTATCATGTATTTGGAATGAGGATATTAGCAGTATTTATTTCATGGTATGGTTCTCAGAACTCAGTGTGTTTATATACATGAAGAGCTTAGGAAAGTATTTGGTTAGTCAGCACTATATAAGTTGTCATTCCTGGCATGATGTTTAGTAGTATTATCACTGTGTATAGTCATGACTTATCTTCAATTTTAAGCAATCTTTAATTGATACGGAGAATCTATGAACACTCCAAATGCCTAGGACTGTCCTGTGCATATTGCCGTAGCATAGTGTGAAATTTCCTGAACTTTTCAGGCAAAGAACCATGCCCGAGAGAAATAGAAGAATAAAAAAGTACTCAAGGGCTCATGTTTCTCAAACTTGGAAAGACTTATGTGGGGGAGGAATGGTGGCTTGTCAGTGCTATATACAGAGTTAGAGAATAAAGACAGCATGTTTTTACAGAATATCACATTTACTAGGAAAATGTAAGTAACATAACATTAGGTAATATTGAATCATCCAGAAATATCATAGAATAAAGGTAAAGTTGACATAATTCTTAGATAATCCATTGGTCTTGGAAGGACTCTTATAGAGATCTGTTTCAGGCTTTACCTTTAGGACCTTCAGGAACACTTGATCACTTTTCTGTGCCCTTAAGGGTCCTTTGGGAATAATGTTTGAGAAGCACCAACCAGCTGTACCCTCTGGGGAGTGATAACAGAAGGCAGAGTATGAGCATGGCCTTGAATAGTAAGCAGGAATTCTGCAAGCAACAGGGGTGGGAATGGGCCATAGCTTTCTGAGAACAATGTGCTCAGGGCAGCATTTTTTGAAGATCATGTTGGCAAGTTATAGTGGAGAAAAGGAAATAAAAGGGATTAGAGTCAAGGGGACCAGTTCAGAGGCTTCTGTAGTCATTCAGGAAGTAGGTAAAGGTGTCAACTCATCACAGAAAACTTTTCATGAGGATATAGGGTGCAGGCTGGGAGATATAAGGTAACATAGGAGTGAGGACCATGGGCATTTGGGTCACTTCTTCACATAACTTACTCATGCTTCCAGGGCTTGTTTGAACCCCATCTCCTATACGTCACTTCCATTTGATGGTAGAGTGCTGATGAACACACCCAACTTTATGGCTTGATGGGCCAGACAACAGTCAGTTCATCCTGGGAAGCTCAGGTCACATGGTAACTTGTAGCCCATGGTTAAATGTTCAATATCTACTAAGGCCCAGTAGGGAAAGCCAGATGAGTGGATATGGAGGGGGAGAGAAGGAAAACAAAGTGAGAACAGTGTGTTGGGAGGTAGGAATGACATCAATCCAAAGGTAGAAGTAAGCCAATGTGCCACTGGCCTGAGACAGACAGTGCCATATGGCTGGGGAAGCCTTCAGAGTGTATAATGTTGGGGAAGTAACAAGACATAAATTTGTATTTTCCTTTTTCACATTTTAATTAAAATATGCTGGGTGTGGAATAGATATTAGAGACAGTATTTTAGAAGTTCAGAGAAGAGAGTGATAGCTTTGGACTAGATGTTGTGGAGAGGTGGAATGGGAGAAGGCTTCCAGAGGAGATGGCACTTGGCCTGAGCCTCAAAGACTCAGTAGGACTTGGAGGGAATGAGAGAGCAGTGCAAACAGGGGAAAGGCATTGAGCCTGGAGTCCTTAAAATAATGCAACTTGGCTCCTGACTTTGATTCATGGGGGAGGAATTCACCCAAGGCCATCAGCCAACTGGAAGAGCTCAAAGGTCAAGGACTGTACATTTTTTCATAGCATTTCTCATTTGTTTGAGCTTAAACGAAGCTGAACCCTGCAGGGAAATGAGCACATGTTACGCATCTCTAAAGCCAGGAGGCTTCATGGCCAGGAAACTATGCTGGTCGGATAGTAATGCAAATGACTAATGCACCCTTCTGAGGTCTCATGTGGTTTGAGACCCCAGGAATCTGGGCCAGGCAGGAGACACATAGGCGGTGGCTCCAAACGAGAATGAGGGTGATTACACAAGAGGCAGCTCAGTTTGGTGAAGTGTTGTTCTGGGAATCAGGAGTGAGGTTTGCTCTCCAGTGTCCCTGAACAGGCCAGGTTCCTTCTCTGGTTTCAGTTACCTTGTGAATGTCTGGCTCTGACATACTAGGGGGCTATGGAAGACCTGGCAAATGTTTAGCCGTGTCTGCATCCTAATGGCAGATGTTAAAATCCAACCACATAGCCTTACTTGTTGCTCCCTAAACACCCGCTTTATACATCACTATGCCTTTAAACATTAAGTTCCCTTTACCAGGACCAGGCTCAGGGACAAGTCACTGTGCACATCTTCCTGCTCCCCCTTTAAGATTCAGTTCATTTCTCTTTGACTGGGAAGTTCTGACTCTCACAGACAGAGCTGGTCATTGCTGCCTTGTGCCTCCACAGCACTTGGGAACACAAAATTTGCCACAATTGGGATCTTGCAAAGAAATGTCAAAGGATTATCTCTTGTTTTTCTCCTGTGGGCTTTTCAAATTCAGGGAGGTCTTTGACTTGGGCTTTTCAGATCAGAATTCTCAGCCTCTAACACTGTGCCTGCCTGGAAAAAGGGCAAATCAATGAGACACAATATTCAGAGAAATAAAATTGTTTCTAATGAAGTTGGAGAGACTAATCTGTTACTTGGGTCTGTGTGAGTGGGCAATCTTTTCACCTGCTTGAGAGTTAAAAAAAAAATCATGAAATAGCCTCCCGATTTACTTTTCTTTCCCAGATTTGTACGTTACAGGTGCAATATTAGAAAGATCACAGGGCACAGAGTTAGACAGATGTGGGTTCAAATGCAAGGTTCACCACTCGGCTTGTTATGTTTTGTTAGAAAATCCACTTAACCCTCTGAACCTTTTCTTCATCTATAAAATTCAATAATATTGACTCCAAAAGATTAGTGTGAGGATTAAGTGAAGCAGGATACATAAAACTAGCATCATCAAAGGTTTTAGAAAGTATGTTAAACACCTACTGTGTGCCAGTCTGACACCAATAACCTTTGGGGAATCCTAATTGTGTATCTTGAAAGTCAGGCAAAGTAGAGCTTTGTTCCCACGCAGAGGACTCAGAGGTGAATTTACTTTCTTCCTAATCAGGAAAGAATTGCAGATGGGTGGGCAAGGTTGGGCCAGCTTCAAGCCTGGCAGATAACCAGTTAGGCTTAGCTGTGTCTATCCTGGTGCCAAAAAATGCTCATCCACAGAGCAGGGCTTTATCCTCAGGGAACGAGGGAACAGCTGCCCCCAGCTGTGCTTGCCACATGTTACTTTGCTTTGTTGAGACAAGCACTGCATGTGACCTGCTGCCCAGCAATGTCCCTTCCTCTGAGGCTGGCAGGGGCTCTTTCCAGAGCACCCCTCCTCAAAGGGACAAAACAGTATGATTCAGGTAACAGCCACTGATCTACTCTTCAGCACCAGGCTGTTTGATCTGCGCTTGCTCACTGAATCTTCAACTAGCTTAAGAAATAGCCACATTGTGCCTATTTAATACACGGGGGAACTAGTACCAGCAAATCTGTGATGCTAGAATTATTTGATTTATCTCAGCTTTAAAAACTGAATTCTTTCTTCTCTATAGTAGCATAGAATGGGGAGATTTGTACTTCATCTTCAGAAGACATTAATAATCACAACACAATAATACAAATTACAGTAATAGTTAACATTCACTGAGCTATTATTAGGCTTTTTTTTCATGAGGCAGAGTCTCACTATATTGCCCAGACTGGAGCACAGTGGTGTGATTTCGGCTCACTGCAACCTCCACTTCCCAGGCTCAAGCATTCTCGTACCTCAGCCTCCCGAGTACCTAGGATTACAGGAGGATTACAGGTGCCCACTACCAAGCCTGGTTTTCTTTTATTGTATTTTTAGTAGAGATAGGCTTTCACCATGTTGGCCAGGCTGGTCTTGAACTCCTGACCTCAAGTGATCTGCCTGCCTCACCCTCCCAAAGTGCTGGGATTACAGGTGTGAGACACTGTGCCAGCCTAAGCAGTGGTTTTCAATGGAAATTAATTTTGCCCCCCAACCCCTGAAACATTTGAAAATGTCTGAGACATTTTTGGAGTGCTATGGCATCTGGTGGGTAGAGGCCAGTGATGCTGCTAAACATCCTGCAGTACATAGGACAGTTCCCAGCAACAAAGAATTGTCTAGTCCAAAATGCCAGTTGTGTGGATGTTGAGAAACCCTAATGTAAATAATTTCAATGGATTATGTCTTTTCATTTTTATTAAGGCCAGGCATGGTAGATCACACCTGTAGTCCCAGCACTTGGGGAGGCTGAAGTGGGCAGATCATGAGGTCAGGAGATAAAGGCCATCCTGGCCAACATGGTGAAACCCCATCTCTATTAAAAATACAAAAATCAGCTGGGCATGGTGGCACATGCCTATAATCCCAGCTACCCAGGAGGCTGAGGCAGGAGAATCACTTGAACCAGGGAGTTGGAGGTTGCAGTGAGCCGAGATGGTGCCACTGCATTCCAGCCTGGCGACAGAGCAAGACTCCATCTCAAAAAAATAAAACTCAACAAGGTAGATATAATTTTGTCCCTTTAAGACAAGAAATCTGAAACATAGAGAAGTTAGGTTCTTCTTGCAAGATGGCACCAGGATGTAGTGATACTAGGAATTTGAACCCAGGGATCCTGAGGCCAGCACTCCTGACCACAACAGGGCCATTAGCTCATTTGAAGTTCCTCAAAGTACTCAATAGATTGCCTGGTGCTTACAGAAATGAAGAGGCTGTCCTGTGAAAAGATAATCAGGGAAGTCCTCCTGAAAGGAATCCTGAGCTAAACTCAGACTCCTCTGAGTCCCACACTGCAAGTAGGTGGCAGGCTTTGGGCCCCATCCCACCCTTCATGCTTCTCAGCCGGGACCCTCCACAGGGTCATGCTGTGTTCAAATGAGCAAATGGATGCGAAAGTGCTTAGAAAAGGACCATAGCTATAGCAACATGAGGGATAAATATGACACATTGACTTTTCACAGGAGAATGCCTTAAAGCCTTTAAAATGTACACATCTCTACAATCTACCTAAAGTGAAGTTTTCATGGGTGAAGGCTACAGTAGGGGAGACTCTTCAGGCAATAAAGTCTTCCATATTATCACCCTCTCTAGCCCAGGGCAAGCTTCCATCTATGGCTTAATGCTCATTGTCAATCACGCACAAATGTAATCCTATTTAGGTGGCCCCAAAGCGCGTGTGAACTGATTTTCTAAACTAATTGGACAAATTTGTTTTCTAGATTGGTTTTCTGGGGTTTTGATGGCTTTATTCTTTGAGTTTTAATCAAGGTTGTTAAGTTGACAGTATTTGACAGCACCTTGTTTTCAGTTTACATTGCAATAGTCTCAGCCAAAGGAGGTCTCCCCAGTGTTTCTTACACCCTAGACCCTTAATTTCTATACTTAAAAATCTCATGATTCTTTGCTAATAGAGCTCAGAGGGTCCTAGAAACTATTTGGTGAAATCTAAACGTTTTATGGTTGTGGTAATTGGGGCTCAGAGGAAAAGGAAAAGACTGCTATTATAATAATCACAATCATAATAAGCAAGAATTATCATGGCTAATATCTCTGCATATGTGTATAAGGTTTTAAAGCTTATAAATCATTTTTATTTAACTGTTCTTGCTTGAACATCAAAGCAAAATCATTAGGCAAAAAGGCAATAGTCTTACGTTGCAGGTGCAAAATAGATGAAGTGGGTTGCTTAGAATTACATAGTTAAGAGAAAGTAACTCTTGTCCCTACACCTAAACTCAGGTCTTGTGGCAAATTATTGTGTACTCTTGCCCCTACATATCTCTGCACACAGCTACTTAATAAGCCAAACCAATTTCCTAACCTTTTTATTGTTTTGAAGGGCATAAGGAGGCCATGTTCGATGAGTCAGACAGATCTGGGTTCAGGGTCTGTTTTTATACCCAACAGAAATGTGACCACAGACAAACTATTTAACTTGTCTGGACCTTAATGTCTCTAGCTTAAGAACATATTTTTGTATAATTATTGATCATGTGTTAGTACCTGTTATAACAAAATGTGGCTTTCACTATTAAAATGGATTACTCTGACTTTTTGACTTCAACTGGCCACCAATGAGGTCACTATGTGATGTTCTACTGTTCTTGGAGACATAGGTATTATTCTGGCCAAACTCTTATTCCTATGCCAAATAATGAACCATTCTCCTTCCTTTATGGGTGACCTCCTACTCATGGAAAGTAAAACAAGTTATGAAGACTTGCTGCACCCAGAGGCATCCTTCATGATTAAAGGATAAACACACAAGTTTTTTGAGCAAAATAGAATGTTTCTTTACGACAATTAAAACAATCTTCCCCAATCACATACGATGGCTGTTTTGAAGCTGTTTTCCCAGTCCAAGGTCAGATAGGGGTCAGGGCTCTATTATTCTTTCCTCTCCAGAATTTACTTAATTTGCAGCTTAATAAGAACCAAGCATGCCTCTGGCCAACAAAAAAGCTGATTACATACAAGGCTGCATTATTGCTGTACAGCCTCCAGTAGCATATCCCCCATGGCCCCTTGCTTCTGTGCATGCTACATGGTCCCTACTTCTCACTGAAAAGTGTGCTCACCCATCTTGGACAACCCCAGTCCCCACAGCCTGCTCCTTCTGGGGCGTCTCAGTCTCAGTGAATGACAACAACATCACTGTTGTCAATCACAACAGAAATCTGGTGGTCATCTTCGGATGGTGGAGATAAGAGAACCATTTCCTTTGGAGTTTAACTTTGAAGGGCCTTCCAAATCTAGCCCATTTCTAAGCTCCAGTCTCACTACCCTCATTAGGACTATTCTCATGTCCTACTTCAACTGTTAAAATAACCATTCCAAGTCTGCCTCCAAAAGCTCAATATTACTGGAGAGTAAAGGTGAAACATATCAGAGGTCATATCATGAAGGTCTTCATATGCTATGCTAAGGAGAGTTTATTTGGTAAGTAATGGGGATCCAAGTGATGGGAACAGATTTGCATTTTAGAAAAATCATTCTTACTGCAAGTGTAGATGGTGAACTCAAAGATATATGAGTAGAAGAGAGAGAGAGCAGGCTAAAGAGGCAGTTGCAACAATCTCTGTGAAAGGGTATCATAAACTTAAGTAGTGTGGTAACAGTGGAGATGGAGCAGATGGGATGGTGTGAGAAACAGTAATATGGTAGAAATAAAAGGATTGGCATTTAACATGGTCCAGGGGATGAGATGGACCAGAATCTAAGATAATGAAAAGGTTTATGTCTTAGAATGGCTGGAAACATATACACTGGAAAACAGAAAATGCAATGAGATGAAATATTTCTTTAAATACCTCAAGAGATGTCAGAGGACAAAAAACTCTGATGATTCAGTTTCTGAATGTCTTCCAAAGGCAAAACAAAGGCAGCTGAAATTGGGAAATGTAGATTTGAGTTTGGTGTAAATACAGCATTCTCTGAATGATTTCTACTAAAGGTTGCCCCAAATGGGCTCTGATGGGGAGTTCATTAATTCACAGATAGGTTCAGTCTCTAGTTGCATAGTGTGGATGAATCATTTATAAACATGAAGATTCCTTCAAACATGATGATTCTAGGATTCTCTGTGGCCCAGAGGATTAACCTCATGAAGAGGCACAATGATGTCATCAAGACCGCGCTGGGCTCGTAATCTGTCTGGTGCCCAATGTTCTGGCCCGGTTCTATGCCTGCCTAACTTACAGGGTGACATTAAGTCAGTTGCTTTTTTCTCCCTGGGTCTTCCATCAACATAAAAAAACAAGGAGTTGGTATAAATAATAATAGAAACAAAAATAGCAAACACCCCGTGAATAGTAGCTGCTTTTGTTGTGGTCAAGCATCATGCCCCATCTGTCATGTATTTTATGGTATTTAATCCTCACAACCGCACTATGGGCATTATTCATCTCTCCATTCTACAAGTAAGGAGGCTAGGGTTCACAGAGATTATCTCCTTTGTTGTTCTTACACATTGTGATTCTGTTGTTCCAGTGTCAATGGAAGTTGAAGCTAAGTCTTGTTATTACAGCCCGCTAGAGAAAAGACCCACAAACTGCTGAAGAAGTCCCTGCCTTTTCTGGGGTTTGATTATTGCACCTTCCCTGGCTTCTAAAAGAGACCCCAAGATTCTGCTTCTTACTCAAACTAGCTGGCATTTCCACTCCATGAACCATTACAATACCCTAGTTCTCAGGTAACTTAAAGCTGGGTGGAGGATATAATTTTATATACACAAATAGGCACAAATGGCCATCTTTCCCTCTCTCTCTCCAGATCAGGTACCATGTCTGATTCACTTTTGTTTGCTCAGTGACTAGTGCAGGGTCTGGCATTTCTCATGCACTCTGTCAGTATTTGTTGAATAAAAGGCTTGTGAAATACTTCATAATGATTATGAAAAATGTATTCACAATAGCTGTTAGAGTATATATACATTCCGCATCTACTATCAGCACAGAACTGAACTCAAAGTGGGAAAAGGGCAAATTTGCAGGAGAAAAAAATTTTTTTTTCTTTTTCTTTTTTTTCTTTTTTGAGACGGAGTCTTGCTCTGGCACCCAAGCTGGAGTGCAGTGGCGCGATCTTGGCTCACTGCAACCTCTGCCTCCCGGTTCAAGCGATTCTCCTGCCTCAGCCTCCCACATAGCTGGGATTACAGGAATGAGCCACCACACCCTACTAATTTTTGTATTTTTAGTAGAGATGGGGTTTCGCCGTGTTGGCCAGGCTGGTCTTGAACTCCTGACCTCAGATGATCCACCTGCCTTGGCCTCCCAAAGTGCTGGGATTACAGGTGTGAGCCACCGTGCCCAGCCAGAAAAATTTTTAAAAATTAGAACATACACTATTTGAGATGCCCACTAGCATCCAACTGGAGCTCTCTAGTAGGCATCCAGATATACAAATGGCAGAGCAACACGGGAGGGTGGGTCTATGGATAGAAATTTCAGAGTGATAGTATCTAGATAGGTGGCATTTAAGTCCATGGGACCAGGTGGGATCACCAAAGGAGTAAGAGTAAAGACAGAAAATAGGAAATAACCAAAGGAAAGCATCCTTAAGCACTCCAACATAGAAAATGGGGAAATGGGGGGGAACCAGTAAAAGGGACTAAAAGTCATAGCAAATGTTCTAGGAGAAAAGCCAGAAGTTAAGAGAAGTGTCCCAGAAGCCAAGTGAAGAAAAGAAGAAAAAGAAGTGATTGATTCAAGTGCTGTTGAGAGTTTAAGAAACATGAATTTACCATAGTATTTGGCAAGGGGCAGGTGACTGGTAATATTGATGAGGGCAGTTCAGAGATGTGGTGATACTGATGAGGGCAGGTCGGAGATGAACATTTGCACAGAAGGGTGTGTTGATCACTTGCTTGTTTGATCTCACATCCATCCCATCTGACACTTCTTAGTTTTACATTGCAGGGAAATTCAGTTTCCAATACTCCTTGCCAAGTGGCTTCAGAGCAGATCGTATTTATGGGAGAACCTGGCAAAAAATTGATGGACAGAAGGAAAATACCAGCTAGAATATGTCTCTCCCTGCTTTGAGTAGCCCTTCCAACAGGGCTTGCATCTTCTCCATGATTCTGGCTACCACTGGCCATTCCTCTCTTTGTGGGTCCAAGTTCTTACTGAGTAGACCTTCTGAGGCTCCAGCCTCCTTGGAGCTCTGGAAACAACGGCTCCTTCCTCCATCTCCCTCATTCTCCTTGTGGTAGTGGCCTTCTACCATGGTTAATGTTGGAGTTGCCTTACCTTTTCGTGGCCACTCTTTCATCTCTTCCCCATGCAGAGCCCACTCCCAGAGATATGTCTGACTTTATTCATTTTATTTTTGGTCAGCAAAATCCAGAGCCCTGCATTCTACACATTCTGGGCTATTATCCAGGCATCCCTGTGGTTTCCAAGCACATTTTTGAGAAGGGCGTGGGGACCTGATCCCCAAGAACAAATGTTCATTGGGTGTTTTAGCGAATGGCCCCTGGGGTGGCTGATAGCCTATTAATAGCTATGGTAGATTATGCCTCCTCCTGAGGCATAATCCCTTTCCCAGGTGCAGTGGGCAGACTCATCCACAGGAAAGGTTTAAGCAAATAAATGTGCTACCACTATTTCTGAGTGTCCCATCTGAGGAATGCTGAAAAGAAGGCACACACATAAATTAACTCAGCATGTTTTGCATAAATGAATGGGAGGCAAATTCAATGGGCTACAGAAATGGGGAGGGAGTCTCAACTTCACCCAGTTATTTTCTCCAGGTGAATCATGAGTTTCTGATATTTGAAAATACTTAAATCTGAGCTTCTTAGATTTTGAGTTTCTTGGTGTAATTCTTGTGTCTCCAGGACTCCCCAGTCTATTCATGTAAATTGTGTCCCTTTAATAATAACAACCCATATTTCACTGGCATTTCCCCCAGTCGGCTTCTGCAGGCCCTTTAGCCCATCCCAAATGTTCTACTGGGATGGCTCTTCTCTGTCTCCCCAACACCCCTGTCAGATGGTGCCAGTTCTCAGCTAGGTTCTGATAACACCTTCTTCCCTTCTCCCTTCTGACCTAAGGGTGGTAAATCCTTCCTTTAGGTGCTGGTCCCTGGGTGCCTCACCATCTGTGATGGTTAATACTGAGTGTCAACTTGATTGGATTGAAGGATACAAAGTATTGATCCTGGGTGTGTTGGTGAGGGTGTTGCCAAGAGATATTAACATTTGAGTCAGTGGGCTGGGGAAGGCTGACCCACCCTTAATCTGGTGTGCACAATATAATCAGCTGCCAGTGAATATAAAGCCTCCCAGCCTACATCTTTCTCCCATGCTGGATGCTTTCTGCCCTTGAACATTGGACTCCAAGTTCTTCAGTTTTGGGATTCTGACTGGCTCTCCTTTCTTCTCAGCTTGCAGACGGTCTATTGTGGGACCTTGTGATTGTGTAAGTTAATATTTAATAAACTCCCCTTTAAATATATATATATATATGAACCATGTATATATATATATATGAACCATATATATATATGTATGAACCTTATATATAACCATATATATATAAAACCTCATATGAGGTTATATATATATGGTTAATATATATATGTAAGGTTCATCTATATATGTAAGGTTCATCTATATATAAGGTTCATCTATATATAAGGTTCATCTATATATATATATGGTTCATCTATAAAGGGGAGTTTATTAAGTATTAACTTACACAATCATAAGGTCCCACAATAGACCATCTGCAAGCTGAGAAGCAAGGAGAGCCAGTCGGAGTCCCAAAACTGAAGAACTTGTTAATATCTCTTGGCAACACCCTCACCAACACACCCAGGATCAATACTTTGTATCCTTCAATCCAATCAAGTTGACACTCAGTATTAACCATCACAGATGGTGAGGCACCCAGGGACCAGCACCTAAAGGAAGGATTTACCACCCTTAGGTCAGAAGGGAGAAGGGAAGAAGGTGTTATCAGAACCTAGCTGAGAACTGGCACCATCTGACAGGGGTGTTGGGGAGACAGAGAAGAGCCATCCCAGTAGAACATTTGGGATGGGCTAAAGGGCCTGCAGAAGCAGATGGGGGGAAAGGCCATATAAGGTTCATATATAGATATATATATATTTTATATACATTTACATATAAAGGTTCATATATATAAATAACATATATATTTTATATATATAAATAAAGGTTCATATATATATAAAGGTTCATATAGATATATAGAGGTTTATATATATTTAAAAAGGTTCATATACATATATATATATATATATATATATATATATATATATATATATATGTATATGAACCTTTGTGCCAGAAGTAACAGCTTTCCCATCCCCAGTGGTAGCAACATCCCCTCCCCGACCCATGCTGCCATCAGCCTTTCCACCTTTGTCTGAGGAGATAAACCCTGCACTGCCTAAGGCAACAGTGATGGCCTCCCCTGAGGCAGTTGCCAGGCAAGATAATGTTGATTCTCCTCAGGAGCCACCTTAACACTTCTGTTTGCTTCTAGACCTATAACTAGATTAAAGTCCAAGCAGGCCCCTAGAAGTGAGGTTGAGAGTGTGACTCACGACAAGGTGTGCTACACTCAAAAATAGCTGTTGGAGTTCTCTAATTTATATAAACAGCAACCTGGACAACAGAATTGGGAATGGGTATTAAGGGTATGGGATAATGGTGGAAGGAACAGAGTTGGATCAGGCTGAATTTGTTGATTTGGGCCCACTGAGTAGGGACTCTTCTTTTAATGTTGCAGCTCAGGGAGTTAAAAAAAAAAGGTTCTAATAGTTTATTTGCTTAGTTAGCTGAAATATGGATTAAAAGATAGCCCACTGTGAGCAAGATGGAAATGCCTGATCTCCCTTGGTTTAATGAAGAGGAAGGGATCCAAAAGCTTAGGGAGATTGGGATGGTGGAGTGGATTAGTCACTTTAGACCTACTTATTCCAGCTGGATAATTCTTTCCACAAGAATTAATTTAATTTACCCTGATACTAAGAATGATTGGATAGACTGATTTAACCATATATTTATTAACTTTAGTTACTAGTATTTTAAAAGAAAATATTGCTAATTGAGTAGTGGAAAACATTACTTCACTTCAACAAAGTTACTAGACAGTTCGAATCTTATGCCATGCCTTTATCTGTGAAGTGAATTTCTTATGTGTATTGAGTTTTAGTTGGTAACAATTAACTTTGAAAAAATAAATTGCTTTTTACAGCTTGCTTTTCTTCATGGATAGTGCACATCACAGAATATTCTGCATCTTAAGCTTCCTTCCTTATCCAGACCAAATTCCCAACTTCTTACCACTGAAAGATGTTTTTCATCAAGTGGGTTCAGACCTGATCACCTAAAAGGACAAGTTGCTCCTTGGCCAATGCCCTTGCAAGATATACCTTTGACCAATGCCTTGCAAAACAGATTTGTGAGGGCAGCACCTGCATCTTTGAAGACCCCTGTAATTGCTTTGCTCTGTATGTCAGATGTAACAGTGGGAACTGCAGTCATTCAACTACAAAATTTAAATACAATGAGAATAATTGGATCCTGAGGTGGCAGGGACCAAGTGGAAGCACTGAACCATCAAAGGCAAGGTGGGCTTAGCTACTATAATGGACAGAAGTGGTAAAGCTGCAATCTGCATAGTCTGACTTGTGTAGAGCTCTGGCATTGGCTAATTAATCATGGTGTTCTTAGAAGTGAAATGGATAGGTAGCCTACTGCATTCCTACTTAATTTATACAAGCAGAAAACTTCTAGGTCGAATGGACAAAAGACTAATCTGAATTATAAAAACAGAATCATGACCCCTCAATCAATTTCCAGACTTGAGCCAGTTTACAGACCCAGAACCCCTTGAATGAGGTGGAGGCCGGGTCCCCTTGAGGAAGGACCCCACTATATTACTGACAATTTACATAGTGAATCTTTCTCCCATCCTTCCCAAGGAGACCTCTGGCATTTTATTAGTGTAATTGTGCATAGGGGAAAGGGAAACGATCAGACATTTGGGGGACTACTGGACACTGGCTCTGGGCTGATGTTGATTCCAGGGGAATCAACCCAAAACATCATTGTGGTCCTCCAGTTAAAGTAGGGGCATATAAAGGTCAGGTAATTAATGGAGTTTTAGTTCAGGGCCTAATACAGAGGGTCCAGTAGGTCCCTGGATTCATCTTATGGTCATTTCCCCAGTGCCAGAATGCATAATTGGCATAGGCTTACTTAGCAGCTGGCAGAACCTTCACATCGGCTCCCTGACTGGTAGGGTGAGGACTATTATGGTGGGAACGGCCAAATGGAAGCCATTAGAGCTGCCTCTGTATAGACAAATAGTAAATCAAAACAATATCAAAACAAATAGTAAATCAAAAAACAAATAGTAAATCAAAAACAAAATTTTTTTTTATATCTCCATAATATAGAGATTAGTGCCACCATCAAGGACTTGAAAGATGCAGGGGTGATGATTCCCAACCCATTCCTGTTCAACTCTCCCATTTGGCCTGTGCGGAAGACAGATGGATCTTGGAGAACGACAGTGAATTATCATAAGCTTAACCAAGTGGTGACTCCAATTGCAGCTGCTGTAGCAGATATGGTTTCATTGCTTGAGAAATGTGTACCTGGTATGCAGCCATTGACTTGGCAAATGCCTTTTTCTCCATACCTGTCCATAAGGCCCACCAGAAGCAATTTGCCTTCAGCTGGCAAGGCCAGCAATATACCTTTACAGTCCTACCTCAGAGGTATAGCAACTCTCCAGCTCTGTGTCATAATCTTATTCGGAGAGACCTTGACTGCTTTTTGCTTCTGCAAAGTATCACACTGGTCCATTACATTGATGACATTATGCTGATTGGATCCAGTGAGCAAGAAGTAGCAAGTACACTGGACTTGTTGGTGAGACATTTGTATGCCAGAGGATGGGAAATAAATCCGACTAAAATTAAGGAAACTTCCACCTCAGTAAAATTTTTAGGGGTACAGTGGTGTGGGGCCTGTCAAGATATTCCTTCTAAGGTGAAGGATAAGTTGCTGCATTTGGCCACTCCTACAACCAAGAAAGAGGCACAATGCCTACTGGGCCGATTTGGATTTTGGAGGCAACATGGTCCTTATTTGGGTGCATTACTGTGGCCCATTTATCAAGTGACCTCTAAGGCTGCCAGTTTTGAGTGGGGTCCAGAACAGGAGAAGGCTCTGCAACAGGTCCAGGCTGCTGTGCAAGCTGCTCTGCTACTTGGGCCACATGACCCAGCAGATCCAATGGTGCTTGAGGTGTCAGTAGCAGATAGGGATGCTGTTTGGAGCCTTTGGCAGGCCCCCATAGGTGAATCATGGCAGAGGCCGCTAGGATTTTAGAGCAAGGCCCTGTCATCTTCTGCAGATAACTATTCTTCTTTTGAGAGACAGCTCTTAGACTGTTACTGAACTTTGGTGGAAACTGAGCATTTGACTATGGGTCATCAAGTCACCATGTGACCTGAACTGCCTATCAGGAACTGGGTGCTTTCTGACCCACCTAGCCATAAGGTGGGTCATGCACAGCAGAATTCCATCATCAAATGGAAGTGATATATACGTGATTGGGCTCGAGCAGGTCCTGAAGGCATAAGTAAGTTACATGAAGAAGTGGCTCAAATGCCCATGGTGTCTACTTCTGCCACCCTGCCTGCTCCCCCCACAGGGTGCACTGATGGCCTCATGGGGAGTTCCCTATAATTGGTTGACAGAGGAAAAGAAGACCTGGTTCAGAGATGATTCTGCATGATATTCAGGAACCATGCAAAAGTGGACAGCTATAGCACTACAGCCCTTTTCTAGGACATCCCTGAAGGGCAGCAGTGAAGGGAAATCTTCCCAGTTGGCAGAACTTTGAGCAGTGAACCTGGTTGTGCACTTAGCATGGAAGGAGAAATGGCCAGGTGTGCGATTATATACTGATTCATGGGCTGTAGCCAATGGTTTGGCTGGATGGTCAGGGACTTGGAAGAAGCATGATTGGAAAATTGGTGACAAATTTGGGGAAGAGGTATGTGGATGGACCTCTGAGTGGCCAAAAACTGTGAAGATATTTGTATCCCACGTGAGTGCTCACCAACGGATGACCTCAGCACAGGAGATTTTAATAATCTGGTGGATAGAATGGCCTGTTATGTGGACACCACTCAGCCTCTTTCCCCACCCACCCCTGTCGTCGCCCAGTGGGCCCATTAACAAAGTGGCCATGGTGGTAGGGATGGAGGTTATGCATGGGCTCAGCAACATGTACTTCCACTCACCAAGGCTGATCTGGCTACGGCCACTGCTGAGCGCCCAATTTGCCGGCAGCAGAGACTAACACCGAACCCTTGATATAGCACCATTACTCATGGTGATTAGTTACCTGGTGGCAGGTTGAATATATTCAACCTCTTCCATCATGGAAAGGGAAGAGGTTTGTCCTCACTGGAATAGACAATTACTCTGGATATAGATTTGCCTATCCTGCACACAATGCTTCTGCCAAGACTACCATCTGTGGACTCACGGAATGCTTTATCCACTGTCGTGGTATTCCACACAGCATTGCCTGACCAAGGCACTCACTTTATGGCTAAAGAAGTGTAGCAGTAGACTTATGCTTATGGAGTTCACTGGCCTTATGTTCCCCATCATCCTGAAGCAGCTGGATTGATAAGAGTGGTGGAATGGCCTTTTGAAGTCACAATTACAACACCAGTGAGGTGACAATACTTTGCAGGGCTGGGACAAAGTTATCCAGAAGGCCGTGTATGCTCTAAATCAGCATCCAATATATGGTACTGTTTCTCCCATAGCCAGGATTCGTGGGTCCAGGATTCAAGGGATGGAAGTGGAAGTGGAAATGGCACCACTCACCATCACCCCTAGTGATCCACTAGAAAATTTTTGCTCCTGTTCCCACGACATTATGTTCTGCTGGCCTAAAGGTCTTAGTTCCAGAGGAAGGAAGGCTGCCACCAGGAGACACAACAACGATTCCATTAAACTGGAAGTTAAGATTGCCACCAGGATACTTTGGGCTTCTCCTCCTGTCTTTAAGTCAACAGGCTAAGAAGGGAGTTACAGTGTTGGCTGGGATGATTGACCCAGACTATCAAGATGAAGTCAGTCTACTACTCCATAACTGCGGCAAGGAAGAGTATGCAGGTAATACAGGAAATTCATTAGGGCATCTCTTAGTATTACCATGCCCTGTGATTAAGGTCAATGGGAAACTACAACAGGCAGGACTACAAATGGCCCAGACCCCTCAGAAATGAAGGTTTGGATCACTCCACCAGGAAAAAAAACCACAACCTGCTGAGCTGCTTGCTGAAGGCAAAGGGAATACAGAATGGGTAGAAGAAGGTAGTCATCAATATCAGCTACGACCACGTGACCAGCTGCAGAAATGGGGACTGTAATTGTCATGAGAATTTCCTCCTTCTTTTGCTAAAATCATGTTTGTGCATGTATACACTTGTACTAAGAAAATATCTTCATTTTATTTCCTTTTTCTCTATGATGTGACATAAGATTTATTGACTTCATAGCAGCATTTAAGTATTGTTAACTTTATATAATAGTATTTGGGTTGGGGATTGGTGCCTTTCTGGTTGTATGAAGGATAGTTGTATTATGTTAGGTGTAATTATGACATTATTGTCTTTAAGATTATGTATGACCTCAGGAGGTGTGTATGGGTTCAAGTTGACAGGGGTTGGAGTTGTGATTGTTAATGCTCTGTGTCAACTTGATTGGATTGAAGGATACAAAGTACTGATCTTGGGTGTGTTGGTGAGGGTGTTGCCAAGAGATATTAACATTTGAGTCAGTGGGCTGGGGAAGGCAGATCCACCCTTAATCTGGTGGGCACAATCTAATCAGCTGCCAGCGAATATAAAGCAGGCAGAAAAATGTGAAAAGGAGAGATGGGCCTAGCTTCCAGCCTACCTCTTTCTCCCATGCTGGATACTTCCTGCCCTTGAATATTGGACTCTAAGGTCTTCGCTTTCAGGACTTGGATTGGCTCTCCTTGCTCCTCAGCTTACAGATGGCCTATTGTGGTACCTTGTGATCATATACGTTTATACTTAATAAATTCCCCTTTATATATATATATCTATGTATATCCTATTAGTTCTTTCCCTCTAGAGAACGCTAATACACCATCCTTGATTAAATCCCTTCACCCTCTCTCCATCTTTGTAAAAATTCTCCTCATTAAATTATTGTTCAGTGAAGCCCTGCTGACATTACTGCCTCTTTCCTGCCAAGATCAGGATGATACATAAAGATACTTCTTGGAGTCCCAGGGGGAGCCAGATTAAATCCAAGGAAACTTTTCCCTTTGCCATTATTAGCATTTAACATTGGATGTATTGATTCAGTGCCTGCTCTGGGTTAGGCATCCACTCTCATTCTAACTGCCTTCACTGTGGTTTATACTTTGACACCAAAGGAGGACCTCTCATCCCTGCTGGGTTCTGCTTGGCATGACTCACTTTGTGCCACATTGCTGTTGCTGCCAGTCTCCTGATATTCACAAAGTTGCAAGTGCTTGCTGTGCCCAAGTGGAGTCATGTTTCCCAGAGCCTTCACTGTGCTGAGGCCATGACAGTTCCACCCAGGATTGAGGACAACATTCCCCTCTCCTACTGTGACAATCTCACTGAGCACAGCTGTCTCTAGTTACAAAGCATCCTCCCTCTCCATGAAAATAGTTCCCTTTGGCTTTCTCCTGGAGGCCCCTTCCATGGTCTCAAACACAGGTTTGTGCAGCTGGTCTAGGAGTGGTAATAGTATTACGACAAAAAAGATTCTATGACTAGGTAAGTCTGGGAAACACTGGATTTAAAGAGCTAAGAAGGGTTTTTTCCCCCTAATTACTCAGAGTCTCTAAGTGCACTGTGAATTTCCAAAAGGGAGTTTATTGAATATAGCATCTTCCCATGTTATTTGGCCATGAAACACTGGTATCAATGAACATTTCACAGAAAACACTTCCGTGAAATGCTGGTTAATGGTTGTATTAGTCTGTTCTCACGCTGCTATAAAGATATTACCTGAGACTGGGTAATTTATGAAGGAAAGAGGTTTAATTGACTCACAGTTCCACAGGGCTGGGGAGGCCTCAGGAAACTTACAATTATGGTGGAAGGCAAAGGGGAAGCAAGGACCTTCTTCATGTGGCGGCAGAATAGAGATCAAGGAGTGAAGGGGGAAGATCCCATATAAAACCATCAGATCTCATGAGAACTCACCCACTATCATGAGAACAGCATGGAGGAAACCACCCGCATGATCCAATCACCTTCCACCAGGTCCCTCCCTAGACACGTGGGGATTATGGGAATTATAATTCAAGATGAGATTTGGGTGGGGATACAGCCAAACCATATCAATGGTGTTACTGTTTTCTAGTAAAACTAGTTTATTAGTATTTTCACTAATTTGTAGTAACAATAAAATTTTTCATGTTTTTAAATTTTTACCTTGGGCAGACAGTGTGGAATTGCCCATGAGGGGCTGCTTCAAGGAGAGGCAACATAGCGATGTGGAAAATAACTGGAGCTGGGCTCAGCCAGACTTGAGTTGGAATTCTGACTCAGTCATTGAGTGGCATTAGGCAAATCACTTAACATTTCTGGGCCTCAGTTTTCACTTCAGTAAAATGGAACCAATAGAGTCCATTAAATATGATGAAAATGGAAAAGTATCTATCCCCAGTGTCTGGAACATAAAGGGTGCTCAACAAATGTGATTTCCCCTCCTTAGAACAAATCTTTCACCTGGGCTTACCGTTTATCAGAAGCCTCATTGACTTTTTTTTCTAGATTCTTCTCCAGGATCTAAAGGATGGGTAGGACTGGAGAGGCAGACAATAGGTCTTAGTGATTTAGAGGAGAGTATATAGATGGTTTGTTTCCCTCTTGATTTAATCTCAACTCATTAGCTATGGCAGCGGCTGGAATAGCTTTGAATTCTTGAACTGAATCTTGATAATACTTTTTGAGGCAAAATCTACAAGGATTTCTTTATTTCTCATTTCAAATCTGGAAAAAAGTATTTTCTCCTCTAGTTTCTATTTCTTTTCCATGATGTTACATAATCCTTGTTACAAAAATAATTGACACAAAATTCCACCACCCAAACACATCAGATATTTTCGTTTTTGTTGGTGACTTTTGGTCTTTACAATGTATCCAGGCTGATGCCTTGTCTTCAAAATTATTCCTAATTATTACATTATATTCAAAGACTATTATGAGGATTAAATTATGGTAATGTTTGAAAACAAAATCTGTTCTACTGATTGGTACAAGATTATATCCCCACTATTAAATAATTTTGATGTTTGCAATCCTTCTATCATTTTTTGTCATTATAATCTTTATGCATGACAAGGATATTTTGAGATACAAATTTTTTTCTTCTATATCTCTGGCCTCCTGCTCAAACCCAGAGAAGCTGCTCTTACTCCAGCCTGGAGGTGGTTTGAGGCTGGGCTAAAAGCAGAGCCATCTCCAAGTTCTTCTGTTCCTGACCTTTGTTTTCAAAAGCTTGAGGTGAGAGTGGAGCTGAAAGGAGAGGACAGCTGGAGGATCTGGAGAGAGGCAGAGTGTCTTGGAAAAAGCAGGAAGAGCATAACTCTTCCGTTTTTATTTTTTAATGGCACTATCTCCGAAACCTCCTTGGCATAATAGGGTGTGGAGAGAGAGAGAAAACTACGTTCCTAAGAATACCCAAAATGCAGGAATCTCATGTCTTCATCCTGGCAGGACAACTGGGAAGGTAGCAAGACCTAAGAAGGGCTGGGCATGATGGGATGTGGGACATAGAGGAAAGGGTTTTTGGCCTTATGAATGATTCTTTTCTCTTACAGATGACACAGAAACAAGAGAGGGAAGCTGAATCCCAAGGCATTGTGAAGGGTGAGGGTGGGTAACAACAGATAACTCACCACCAACCTCTTCCTAACCGCACAGAGCTTCAGCATCACACACGATCCTTGAGCCATGACACAACTCTATTTAGAAAAACTCCAATAATGGAAATTAGATTTCCAGGGCCATGGGAGAAATTGGTTTCAGAGTCAGAAATTGAACTGAATTATAGAAATAGGATACTTATTTTACTGTGAATGAGCTAAAATTTATATTTGCTACAAATATACATCGTTTTATTTTTTCTTTCTAGTTTGTTTGCTCAAGGATTGATTGATTGGATCTCAAGTATATACATACATATGTATATATATATTTTGTATCATCTAGATTTTTGTACAATAAATTCCCTTATGGAGAAATACTGGGTCAAAATATATAAGCATTTTTAGATCTCATTTCATAGTTCCAGATTGCTTTCTACAAGAATTAATTTAATTTACCTTGATACTAAGAATGATTGGATGGACTGGTTTAAACATATGTTTATTAACTTTAGTTACTAGTATTTAAAAGAAAATATTGCTAATTGAGTAGTGGAAAATGTTACTTCATTTCAACAAAGTTACTAGAAAGTTTGAATCTTATGCCATGCCTTTATCTATGAAGTGAATTTCTTATGTGTATTGAGTTTTAGTTGGCAACAATTAACTTTGAAAAAATAAATTGCTTTTTACAGCTTGCTTTTCTTTGTGGATAGTGCATGTCACAGAATATTCTGCATCTTAAGCTTCCTTCCCTATCCAGACCAAATTCCCAACTTCTTACCACTGAAAGATGTTTTTCATCAAGTGAGTTCAGACCTGATCACCTAAAAGGCCAAGTTGTCCCTTTCAGTTGAGATGGACAGGTTCTAATTAGGCCGTACTATGATTATAAGGAAACTATTCACTTATGAAATATAGAGGAAATGTGACAGGGAGTGAGGAAATCTATTGCATTATATAAATGGTTACAGACACCTGGGAGTTAAGACTCATTACCATTGGCTGCACATTTTCTAAAGGAAATAACCCAGATGAAAGATATGCCTTGGGTGGAGACACACAATATAAGTATTGTGTAAGTAAACTCACATTTCAAGAAAAAAAATAGATTCAAGACATACATAGGCAGGTTGGCTACACGGATATATTGTATGATGCCGAGGTTTGGGCTATAATTGAACCTGTCACCAAATAGAGAAATAGTACCTAATAGGTAGTTTTTCATGATCTCTTCCTCCCTCCTTTTGGAGTCTGCAGTGTCTATTGCTAAACCTACATTTTATTTATGTCTAGAAAAATTACAACTGCACAAAATGTTACCCTGGAGCACTTTCTTCCATTCAATCCAAGCAAGTTTAAGAGTCCACAGTGCTGAAATAGAGAAGAGCACTGAATAAGGAATGCCTTATTTTTTTTCATCTGCTCCCCTTACATGGAGAAATTTTACTCATCTTTTAGGTAGCTTGACTCAGGTGTTATCACCTCCCTGTACCATCAGGGGGGATAGGTAATCCTGATCTATGCTTTGGTTTCCATGTTCTTTTGTATTCCTGGAAATCATGTGCTTCTTTCCCCTGTGTCTTCAATTTATCCCTCTCAACTATACTCTTTCTTTTTTTCAAATTTAATTTAATTTTAAGTTCTGGGATACATGTACAGGATGTGCAGGTTTGTTACATAGGTAAATGTGTACCATTGTGGTTTGCTACACCTACCAACCCATCACCTAGGTATTAAGCCTTGCATGCATTAGCTATTTATCCTGATGTTCTCCCTTCCCCTGTCCCCCTGATAGGCCCCAGTGTGTGTTGCTCCCCTCCCTGTGTCCATGTGTTCTCATTGTTCAGCTCCTACTTATAAATGAGAACATGCAGTGTTTGGTTTCCTGTTCCTGTGTTACTTTGCCGAGGATAATGGCTTCCAGCTCCATCTATGTCTCTGCAAAGGACATGATCTCATTCCTTTTTATGGCTGCATAGTATTCCATGGTGAAAAGTGCGACATTTTCTTTATCCAGTCTATCATTGATGGGCATTTGGGTTGGTTCCATGTCTTTGCTATTGTGAATAATGCTGCAGTCAACACACACGTGCATGTATCTTTATAATAGAATGATTTATATTCCTTTGGGTATATGGTATATACCCAGCAATGGGATTGCTAGATCAAATGGTATTTCTGGTCCTAGATCTTTAAGGAATTGCCACACTGTCTTCCACAATGGTTGAATTAATTTACACTCCCACCAATGTGTAAAAGTGTTCCTATTTCTCCACAGCCTCGCCAGAGTCTATTGCGTCTTGACTTTTTAATATTCGCCATTCTGAATGGCGTGAGATGGTGTCTCGTGATTTTGATTTGCATTTCTCTAATGATCAGTGATGTTGTGCTTTTTTTCATATGTTTGTTGGCTGCATAAATGTCTTCTTTTGAGAACTGTCTGTTCATGTCCCTTGCCTGCCTTTTTATGGGGTTGTTTTTTTCTTGTAAATTTGCTTAAATTCCTTATAGATTCTGGATATGAGACCTTTGTCAGGTGGATCAATTGCAAAAGTTTTCTCCCATTCCATAGGCTGCCTGTCCACTCTGATGATAATTTCTTTGCCTGTGTGGATGCTCTTTAGTTTAATTAGATTCCATTTGTCAATTTTTGCTTTTGTTGCAATTGCTTTTGATGTTTTTTTTGTCATAAAATCTTTGCCTGTGCCTATATCCTGAATGGTATTGCCCAGATTTTCTTCTAGGGTTTTATAGTTTTGGGTTTTACATGTAAGTCTTTAATCCATCTTGAGTTAATTTTTGTATAAGCTGTAAGAAAGGAGTTTAATTTCAGTTTTCTGCATATGGCTAGCCATCAACTGGACCCTTGCTATCCATAATCAAGCATGCTTCAGTTTCTTTCAATTTATAAAAGACTCTCTGAAGCCCACATACACCTCCAGATACTGACATTTTTCTCTCCTTCTGTTCAGTGCTGAATTTCTTGACATAACTGTCTATGCTCTGTCTCCACTTCATTTTTCATTCCTTCTTCAACCCACTGAAATCTGGTTCTTTCTTGTAATTCCACCAAAACAGCTCTCACTAGAGTTACCTTCTTGGTGCTGAACCCAGTGAACAACAAGTTATCATTGTACTAGCCTTATCAGAAGAACTTACCACTATTGAACACTGGCCCCTCTGTCTTGATTTACTCTTGCCTTGCCTCTGTGACACCACATTCCCTTGACTTTCTTAACACTTTTCCAGTTTCTCCTCCTGAGCCTCCTTTGCTGGATCCTCATCTTTGTCCTGACCCCTAGTTGCTGGCAACTCTTCCCCTTCAGGCACCATCTCCACTCCCAGAGTTTCAATCCATATCTTTGCCAATATCTGCTGTCTTTGTATCTCAGATCTACTCATCACTTTTTAGTTTTACTTTTGTGTATCCAAACTCCAATATGGCCTCTCTCAAAGGAATTTGAAATCAATATACTCCAGAGTGAATTCATCATACTGTCCCCTAACCTGCTCCTTCTCCAGTATCTGTCACTTAGCAATATTCTTCTATACGTTTTGAGTTCTTTCTTGTTTGTTTGCTCAAGGATTTATTGACTAATTGATTAGGCCTAAGTTGTGTTTTTCCAACAGTCAAGGAGAAAGTGTTACACTTCATTATCAGCCTAGAAAAACTTCCTGTTTTACCAGAATTACTTCCTCAATTCTCCTTTTGAATGTGTCCCATCAGTATTGTCAGTGATATGTAAATTCTTTGCAAATCCTGAGTCTTTTAAAAAATAGAAGATATGTCTTTTTATTTTACACTTTTAACTTTGAAAGCATACATTTACAATGCTCCTTATGCACTGGAAATAGATGGAATGCAAATAAAGCAGAGTTTGCTTAAAAAAAAAAGATCTGATGCTTTGAAATGTTTCCAACTGTGTGAAAAACAATCACAAAAAGCCTATTCTATCCCCTTTGTGGCTATTGAATGAAGCTGCAGTGGAAGAAGCTGCCCAGCTGGGACATATCTTAATCATATTTCTAGCCAAACTCTTGCAAAAACACATCAGTTAGAAAAATTCAGAATGCTAATGACAATCTCTTACGTTTGCATAAGCAAAAACATGCATAAGGGATTGCTTCACAATATGCAAAGTATTTTAGAGTCATTATCTTGAGTCTTGCAGCTGCCCTGACAGATAGGCAGGGCTTCCTTTATATTTTGCAGATGAGGAAACTGAGGTCCAGAGAGAGAGAAAGTTTTTCAGTATGTAGCTTATAAGCCTAACTGCAGGATATTGAATTCAGGTCTATGTATTCTGAGTTTAGGACTACCCTCTCTCACACTACCCCTTGCCCTGCCTTTGACTGCAGGAATTCCAGCAAGTATGCTGCACTGTTTTCTTTTCCAGGGAATAGAGCAGATTGGTTTTAGCAGAAAGGGAAAAACATGGAAGAGAGATAATTTAGAACACCATTATGGAGAAGCATAAAATTATTATAATGGCAAAAACTGCAATTACTTTTGCACCAACCTAATAGGTTGGCCTGGAAATTAGGGTTTAGAGAGTAGAATAGCAGGAGATAAGGCTGGAAAAGGTAGCTGAAGTGGCACTTTAGGATTGCCTGAATTCTCCCCACACTGCAGGACACATATGTAGAAGTAATTTTCCAACACAGCCTGTTCTGACTCCTACATCCAAAACAACTGTGCAATGGACCATGTAAGCTGGGAAAAATCTTCAAAGTGGCTTCAATTCAGTCTGGAAAGTGGGTAGCTAAGTTATGGTAGTATGTGCTTACATTTAGCATATCAACTCCCCAGCATCTCCTTGCACCCCAACTTTACCCTTCATTCACAATTTTTAAAAAAGCATTGTGTTTGAGAATGTCTACCTTACTGCATTTCAAACTCTTTGTGGGCAGGAACTACATCATGTTCATGTGTAATTACATGCCTTCATCTATGCCTAATACAGAGCCTTGCACACAGTAGAAACTCAATATTAGATAAACAGACAAGTAGATAAAAGGAATTTGGTGTCTAGAGAGGTTCAGTGATTAGGGATGGAGGAGGCAGTGGCAAATGGGGAAAATAGTGGGTTTTATAGAGAAACAATGCATTTTATTGACAAATGGGGCTCTCAACTGTGTTACTTGGGTAAATTCCTTTACTAGTCTGATCCTCATTTTCTTTACATGTGAATTGGAGATACTAACATTAAGTTTATATTGTTTTAGTGAGGATTGCATTCAATGTAGTTAGATTAACATATAGGTATTTAAATGTATCTGTCACTAAATGTCTTCACATTTCTCATATGCAATTTTCTTTTTATTTTATTTTATTTTATTATTATTATACTTTAAGTTTTAGGGTACATGTGCACAATGTGCAGGTTAGTTACATATGTATACATGTGCCATGCTGGTGTGCTACACCCATTAACTCATCATTTAGCATTAGGTATATAATCTAAAGCTATCCCTCCCTGCTCCCCCCACCCCATAACAGTCCCCAGAGTGTGATGTTCCCCTTCCCGTGTCCATGTGTTCTCATTGTTCAATTCCCACCTATAAGTGAGAATATGCGATGTTTGGTTTTTTGTTCTTGCGATAGTTTACTGAGAATGATGATTTCCAATTTCATCCATGTCCCTACAAAGGACATGAACTCATCATTTTTTTATGGCTGCATAGTATTCCATGGTGTATATGTGCCACATTTTCTTAATCCAGTCTATCATTGTTGGACATTTGGGCCTCTCAAAGTGCTGGGATTATGGGTGTGAGCCACCATGCCCAGCCAATATCTTATATTTTAATGTTTGATAATGTTCTGCCTTCATCAAATATCATGTAAGCTCTATGAAAGCAGTATTTCCTGTGCCTAGAATACAATCCCCTTTTGCTGATTTGTCTCCATGGGCTTTACCATTAGGCAGCACTAAGACCTGAACATAAAGAGAACTGATGACTTTGTCTTCAAAATTTCTTCTTCCTTTGTTTTTGCCCTCTCTCCTTTTCCCCAGAGATACCTGTGTACTCTCTTCAACAGACTTAGGCCTTTAAAATCTAAAGGAAGAGATACAGACTTCTAGCTGCTTCTGTTTCCAGCACCTGCCAAGATATCTGAAGCAATGGATTATTGCTTGGCTTTTGTATTCAGGGGAGGTGAGGATAGGTTTAAGAAGAAAACCGTTAGAAGAATAAAACATTTATTCCAAAATTTCCATGTTCTCTTGGTGTTGCTGTTACACAGAATATATCTCCTTGGCACTAACTTCTACATGAAGAAGTCTGCTTCTACCAATATCCAAAATGTCCTGTCTAGGGGTAAAGTAACCACCATTCTAGAGTGCTTGGGACTGTCCTGATTTTAGCAATAAAGGTTCTGCATTTCAGCCTTTCAGTCCTAAGCAAACTGAGATGGCTGGCCATTCTACCTGGAGTAGCATGGTATTCAGCCTTCAAAAAGGGCAAGCCAGAAGTTTCAGAAAATTAATGCCCAGGAAGCAGCCCTCAATCAATGAGGAACAGGAAGTTGGTGGATGAATATCCTCTATCAAATGGGAAAAAAACTGGATAACTGTAGTGTGTTTTCTTCTGTTTCTAAGAGTTCAGCATGATTGAACCAGTTGCCCACAGCAGTAGCTGATTTGATAATACTACGTTTATTTGTTCCCTTGTTTTCTTTCTCCTCTTTTCTACATCCCTATAGGTATTTCCTGGCATTCCTTCGCAGATAACCTACTTGCACCTCAAATTCTTGTCTTAGGGTTTGCTTCTGGGAAAACCTGAAGCCAAATGACTTACAAAATGCAGAGCTGGGCTGACACTTGCATTGATGAAATCCTCATCCTGGTATAACCATGTTCAAATGTAGTGGGTTCTCTCTTTTGGATGAAGCTTTCGATAGTTGGGTACAAAACAGTTGGGGTAAACTCTACACAGGCCTAACAAAGATGGTAACCAAAGGGGGTTTTTGTGACTCTTGGCCTGCTCAACCTCAATTGTTTCTATACCCTAGAGGTGTGTATTAGGCTGAGAAGAAAGTTTTTGGAATGCTGAGGCATTTTCTTTTCTCTGGCTCCTCTGTGGATATTTTCTCATCTCAAGGTTAGTATCTTAGTCTATTTATGCTGCTAATATGATACCTTTTAACTTTTAAAGAACTTTTAAAGAACAATTTATTTCTCACAGTTGCAGAGGCTTAGAAGTTCAAGATCAAGGTGCAGGCAAGTTTAATGATTTGGTGAGGGCTGCTGTCTCTGCTCCCAAGATGGCAGCTTGTTGCTGCATCCTCCAAAGAGGGGGAAATGCTGTATCCTCACATGGTGGAAGGTAGAAGAACCAGAGCCAAATGCTTTGTGAAGCCTCTTCTATAAGGGCCTTAATCCCATTCATGAGGGAGGAGCCTTCATGGCCTAATCACCTCTTAAAGGCCCTCACATCTTAATACTATCACATCAGACATTAAGTTTCAACCCCTGAATTTTGGAGGGGACACATTCAAACTACAGCATTTTGCCCCACCTTCCAAAATTAATGTCCTTCTCATGTGCAAAATACATTAATTGCATCCCAATAGCCCCCAAAGTCTTAACTCATTCTTGTACCAACTTAAAAGTCTAAAGTATAGAGTCTTACATAAATCAGATATGGGTGAGACTCAAGGCACAATTCATCCTTAAGCAAATTTCCCTGTAGCTGTGAGCCTGTGAAATTAAACAAGTTATATGATTCTAAAAGGTAATGGTGGGACAGCCATAGAATAGACATTTCCAATTCAAAGGGAGAAATAGTCAAGAAGAAAGAGGTAACAGATCCCAAATCAGTCCTAAACCTAAGTAGGCAAACAATACTGTCTTAGGGCTTGAGAATAATTTTCTTGATTTCATGTCCCGTCTTCCAGAAACACTGGGGTGGGGGTTGGGTCCCCAGGACTGCAGGGGACCATGCCCCCATGGCTTTGCTAGGCATAGCCCATCCACTAGCCCTTACAGGTCGGAGTTGGGTGCCTGGAGCTTTTTCAGGCTGGTGTTGCATGCTGGTGGCCCTACAGCTCTGGGGTGTAGAGGTGTCCCTCCCACCATGGATCCACAAAGATTTACCCTAGGAAGGCTTTCTTCAGTGCCCCTGCTCCACTGACCATTCTCTGTCTGGGCCCTGAGCTCGCTGAGGCATCTTTGAAACTTAGGTGGAGGTAAACAGTACTTCCACAGTGTATATGCTCTGCAAGCCTGTAGAATTAGCACCATGTGGATGCCATCAAGTTTTACAGCTTATACCTTTCAGAGTGGTAGCCTGAGCCATATTCAGGCTCACGTGAGCCACAGGAGTACCTTGGCTTGGAGGCCAAGGAGTACTGAACCAAAATGCAGGGAATGGAGGAGACATTAGGCAGCCTTGGGCTGCAAGTCGTAAGGTCTCACGTTGCTTTGGCTCCCCACCCCACCAAAACCTGTTCTACCCTCAAGGCTCTTGTGCTCTAGGCCTGTGGTGGGCATAGTAGACTTGAAGATATCTGAAATGCCTTTGAGATTATTCTCCCATTGTCTTGATGAATAGCATCTGGCTTTCTTCTACCCATATTAATCACTATCAAACAGTCACTTGGCCATACCCTTGGTTTTATGTTCTACATATGGTTTTTTCTTTACATGGCCAGGTTGAGAATTCTCTAAATCTTTAAGTTATGCTTCCCTTTTAATTATAAATTTTGTCTTTAAATATTATTTTCTCTTCTCACATTTTACTATAAGCAGTTAAGAGAAGCTACACAACACCCTGAACACTGTCTGCTTGGAGATTTCTTGTACCTGATATTTCAGTTCATCACTCTAAAGCTCTGCCTTTCATAAAGTCCTAGGACACAGACACAATTCATCCAAGCTCTTTGCCACTTGGCAACAAGGATGAGCATCCCTCTAATTTGATAAGATGGTCCTCATTTCCATTTAAGACCTCATCAGAATGACCTTTACTATTCATATCTCTACCAGTGTTCTGATCACATTCACTTAGGTAATTTCTAAGACAACTGAAACTCTCTCTCCAGCTCTTTTCTTCTGAGCCTGCATTAGAATCACCCTTAATGGTCCATTCAGGGCAACCTAGGGTCCTTCTAATATTCACTTCAAAGCTGTCTCAGCCTTTACCCATTACCTAGTTCCAAGCTCAATAACACATTTTTTAAGTGTTTGTTATAGTGACACCCAACTCCTGGTAACAATTTTTGTCTTAGCCTGTTTATGCTGCCATAACAAGATACCTGAGCCTGGGTAACTTATAAAGAATAGTATTTTTTCTCATATTTCTGGAGGCTGGGTGCTTCAAGATCAAGGCAGTGGCAAGTTTGGTTGTTTGGTGAGGGGTGCTCTGTGCTTCCAAAATGGCACCTTGTGGCTGCATCCTCCAGAGAGGAGGAATGCTGTGTCCTTACTTGGTGGAAGACAGAAGGGCAAGAGCTGAATGTAGCATAAAGCCTCTTTTAGAAGGTCCTTAATCCCATCAAGAAAGAGGAGCCCTCATGGCTTAATCACCTCTTAAAGGCCCCACCTCTTAATATTATCACAATGGCCACTAAGTTTTAACACTTGAATTTTGGAGGGGACACATTTAAATGATAGCAGCTAATGAAGAAGGCCTATAAAAAGTCCATCCAAGAGACATGCATGTGTTCCCTGAACCTTGTTCTTGACTCACATCTAGAAGTATTAAGAACAAGAGGTTTTGCTATTTCCCTAATGGTGGAGTAAAGATAAGGGGCTATTTTGGGAGCAAGCCTCACTCCCCTGGTGTCCGGCCCAAAGCCATATGTTTCTCATAAATACCAGCCGTGTGTTCTTTTGGAGTGACAAGATTGAGTATGAGACGTGACTCAAAAGGACTTCATGATGAGGTTGGGTGAAAGTGTTGTACGAAACCAGCTGCAATGTCATGAAAACACGGGAGCAGTTTTAAGAGGAGATTCACACAGGTAGGGACTGAGCCTTTAAACTAACAGCCATTTGGATGCAGCCATCTTGGCAACATCTTTCAGCCCTAGCCACTCCTTCAGATGACTGCATTTCTGGCCAACAGCTTGACTGCAGCATCATGAGAGAGCCTGAGCCAAAACCATCCAGCTAAGCTGCTCTTGGGTTCCTGAAGACAGAAACTGAAGACAGATACAATGTTTATTGTTTTAAACTGCTAAGTTTGGGGGTATTTTATAAATGCCTATGAGATCACAGATAGCTAATACTTTCTGATAAAAAAATTGTTGAATGTTCTTAAAAGGTAATCACTGAAGAGTCCACAAAAGCAGCCCACTAGTGAAAATGTCAGCTTTGAACATTTGTCAATCCTAGAGGGCACTGATGGCAAATCACAGCCATACCATTCAGAAAGTTTTTTTTTTTTTAATATCTCTTTTGTGACCCCGCCCACATTCTGGGCTAACAAGGTAGGGAGAAAAAGTGAACCAGGGGACCAGACACAGAAAAGATGCTAACTCCTCAGATTTGTGAAAAGGTGTTTTAACTTTCAATGAAAGTAGAAATGTTTGACTCTTACATGCAGCTGAGGTTTTTTTTTTATTGCTGAGATTAAAAAGAGCAGAAGGATTAAGAGAATTGCCCTAGATTTCACCCACTGGGTGGGAAAAAAGTAGCCAGAGTGGGTATGAACAGACTATGGGGGAGAAGAATAAAGTTCTGTGTTTAGTGAAGTCGTCATCTTTTAACCTTGTCCTTACATTAGCATTCACAGTCCTCCACAGCTTAGGTTCTCATCTTTTCAGCATCAACTCCTCTTTTGCTAGTGAAAAACCAACTCATCTTTGCAATATAAGTATCACCTGTTCTAAGCAAGGTCTCCTGGATCCCCATGTGAAAATTATTATCTTCCTCCCCCAGGATATTTTAGCTCTTCATGTCTTGGCTGTCCCTTCCACATTGCCACACATCCTTTGTGGCATTTTTTTTTTTTAAGAGGCAGGATCTTGCTATGTCACCCAACCTGGAGTGTAGTGGCTATTCACAGGCATAATCATAGTGCTTTATAGCTTGAACTCCTAGGCTCAAGTGATCTGCCTCAGTCTCAGAAGCAGCTGGGACTACAGGCATGTGTCATCATTTCTGGCTGCTTTGTGATTTTTTTTTTTTTTTTTTTTTTTTTTTTTTTTTTTTTTTTGAGATGGAGTTTTTCTCTTGTTACCCAGGCTGGAGTGCAATGGCACGGTCTTGGCTCACTGCAACCTCTGCCTCCCAGATTCAAGTGATTCTCTTGCCTCAGCCTCCCAAGTAGCTGGGATTACAGATGCCTGCCGCCACTCCCAGCTAATTTTTGCGTTTTTAGTAGAGATGGGGTTTCACCATGTTGGCCTGGCTAGTCTTGAACTCCTGACCTCAAGAGATCTGCCTGCCTCAGCCTCCCAAAGTGCTGGGATTCCAAGTGTGAGCCACTGCACCCAGCCATGACGTTTTTAAATGTAAATAGTTCCTTAAGTTGACTTATCTTGCTCTTGTACTGGATTGTGAGCTCCTTGAAGTTAATCCTATATGGATTAAGGTTATAATAGAGATTCAAGGAGTAACAATGCAGAGATTAAGAAGATGATCACTTTGTATTTAAGTTACTACATAGGAAGTATAGCTGAAAGACAGTCCTTACCTTCCAGAAAGGTATTGAGTAGGGATAAAACATTAATAAACAAAGGTCCTGTGAGCTGCCAGAAGCCACTCAAAGATGAAAATAGGGTATGCACTTGAGGTCAGATGCAGGAGTCATAGTCAGGTCACCAGCTAGCATGCATAGAACATGCTAAGTAAGCAAACTGAGGTCAGGAACCAAGTTGAAAGAAGGAGACAGGAAGTCCAAGAAGGGACAGAATGGACAATCAGCAAGAGACAAAACCAAGACTGACAAGAACTTAATTTTTTTCAGTAGTGTGCAAGCATCCAGTGATAAGTACATACTCCCAGAGTTCTTCAGCTTGACTTAGAAGCATGGTACCCTGATTCTGATACATGATAGTATTTATAAATAGGCAGAGCTTTGGACTGCCAGCTGGATCAGAAGAGGACCCTTGTAGTACATTTGGAGTTTTATATTAAAAAAAAAAAAGACTATGTAAGCTGTTGACATTAAAAAGTGAGGGTGGACTGGGATGTTGAAGGTGATGAAGGGCCAAGGATCTACGGCCACAGGCATTGCTTATGGTGCTATCCTCAAAAGCTGTGCAAAATAAGGAAGGGGGTGCATACTATAAGCTGAATGAACACAATTTTATCAGACAAACTTAAAAGTGATCCTACAGCCTATCTGGATGTTAATATGGAATGGCTCAGTTTCTCCTCTTTCCTTTAATACACTCTAGGCAGGAGATCAGACCTCAGCAAGACCCTCAGAGGGAGTTCCCTCAGGTTATCTAAATAGGGAATCAATCATTGCATAGGGCTGCTTTCCTCCGAATGGAGACTTCCAAGTGATTAACACCACACAAACAACAACGGTGGGAGGCAAGACCATAAATTTTACACTAACTTCCTTCTAATTGATGAGTTCGCCCACCACTTTCAGCCATGAGGTTGCAGCGCCTTGGCCTTGACCCAGACCCAGCTTCTCCGCACCCCCTTTCCCTAGCCTTATACTCTCTCACCTTCCAAAGTGAATTAGTGCTATTTGCCTTGAAAGCTTCCAATCCTGGCTGGTTAGCAGCCAGCTGCAACCCATCAAAACTCTGATTAGGCATTTGAAAGGGTGGAGCATTTTTCATAAAATGATTGACAATGGCTTCTATCTCACACACCTGCTGCTTTAAACCCCCTATAAAATGTCAGCAGGGAGTGTAAGTGATAGATTGCAGTGGTGCTGCCCAACGTAGGAATGTTAAGAGCTAGGAGATGGGAGTGTCTGAACCTCAGCTACTGGAAAGAAAACAAAACAAGCACCCCATCAAATCCATTTCTGAAGACAGCCATGAGGGCACATTTCACCCATCCCAGCTTTCTTAGTCCAATGTAGCATGGTTTTCAGCACTGGTAAGCATTGTTGTTACTGTTTGACAACCACAAGGTTGTCCCTGCCCAACGCAGGGCCTGGCTCCAGGGCACCAAGTCAAGCAGTCCTAGAGTCATTTCTGGCCACCAGCCATTTTTATGTGGTTCAGAAACTGGCCATTTGGGATTGATTCAAGTTTGAGGGATTCTAAGGGCTTTCTTGGTGCCTTCATGGGTAGGACCTGTCCAGTTGTGTGGCTCTGAGTGATAGTTTTCTTGTAGGCAGGTTGCTAAATCCAAATGGCCCAATATTAAAATCAATGCAAGTACAAACTTTTCCTCAGGCCAAATTATTCTTTCTGGATGGCCCAAGTTAAGAGGATGATGAAAAGGATTCCAGGTGGAGTCTGAGAGAAAGGGGTAATGAGTTAGGTACAGAGCTGGGTCACTAAAGTTGGAGGGTAACCTGAGTTCAAACACTTTGAAAGGTGGTCTTCAGATGGGCAGAGTTCAGTGGTAAGGAACCAAGAAGGAGCAGACCTGGAATGTCACTCTTGAAGGCAAGTAATGGATGAGGTGAACCCAATTTATGTTTCATGTCTGGTGGGAATGGCTAATCTTGTATAGTTACCGATAGTGAAGAATGGATACTAAGAACTTTATAAATTAGTTTCAGTTCATAAGAACATAACCTGGGGGTGTTATATACCAGATACCCTCCCTGTCCTCACAATGCAAAGTAGATGTTAACTGAGTATTTATAGTCAAGTTTGATGAATGTTGGATGGAATGGAAAAGTACAGGGAGCTTTGAGAGTTTCAGGTCTTTTGAGCTTTGAAAGCACAGGGAATCTTGGGAAGTAAGGACATCTCTTATCAATAAACATTTATTGAGCACGCACGTATACTGGGTACTGTAAGGGTATGGGAGACTGCCTACTACCGTAAACAACTTAGGATTTATTTGCAGTTTTTTCTCACCTCTATGCCCGCAGAAGCAGAGTATAACAAGAGAGTGTGGCTCAGTACAAGAGTAGCACAGAGGTAGGAGTGATTATTATAGACTTAAGCTATTCTTTTAATTATGAAATATTCCAACTATACAAAAATCAGAAAACATGTAGGTATATTCATTATCCAGATTTAATAGAATCATGTTGCAAAATGTGCTGCATTTCTCTCATGTCCAAGAATACAATTCCATATACAACTAAAGCCTGGCTCCTCCAGCCTGTTCCTTTATCCGTCTTCGAGGTCAGAGCACTCCTGAAGTTGGTATCATTCCCATACATTTTAAAAACTGTTACTACATCTGCATGCCAGATGTATCCTATCTTGTCTTTCCTCTTCAAGTATGCTGGCTTTCATTAAAACATTTGTATTTCTAATTTACTCAGTTTTATCAATCTCTTTTTTTATGTACTTTGTGTTTTACAAAAAATCTTTCCCTACTCTGAAGGCATGAGATATTTTCTCTCTTGCCTAACAGTTTCAGAGTTTTGCTTTTACCTTTGTGGATTCAAACCTTCTGGAATTTGCTTTTATAAATTTTAAATTTAAAAAAATCTAATTTTACTTTCTTCCACATAACCAATTTCCCCAATATTTATTGATTAGTCCTTCTTTTCTAACAGACATCTAATGTCCTATATTATCTTCATGGTTCCAATATTTGTATAGATCCTTTTATAAAGATTCTTTTTCTCATGGTTTTTCTATCCCTGTGTTAATACCCTACTGGTTTTTCATGACTATTCATATCTGGTAAGGTACATCTACTTCTTCCATTGGATTTGTTATTCCTGACCCTTCAGTCTATTATAAAACATTGTGATCAACATCCTGACTTTCTGAAAAGCCCATTTTAGAGATATCACATTGAAATTATATAATTTTTATATTAATTTATGGAAAAATGTCATCAGTATGACTGTCTTCCCTGATATAAACATGATTTTTAAAAATATTTATTTATTTATTTATTTTTTGAGACAGAGCAGAGTCTCACTCTGTCACCCAGGCTGGAGTGCAGTGCTGTAATCTTGGCTCACTGCAACTGCCACCTCCCAGGTTTCAGTGATCCTCTCGCCTAAGCCTCCTGAGTAGCTGTCACTACAGGCATGCACCACCACGTCCAGCTAATTTTTGTATTTTTAGTAGAGATGAAGTTTCACCATGTTGGCCAGACTGGTCTCGAACTCCTGAACTCCTGACCTCAAGGGATAACGCCCACCTCGGCCACCCAAAGCACTGGGATTACAGGCGTGAGCCACCCTGCCCAGCCAACATGATTTCTCTCTACATTTATTTAGATCATTTTTTGTGCTCTTCAATAAAGTTTTATAATTTCCTTAGTAAAGATGTCAACAGATACATATGTTTTGAATGATTTATGTCTAAGTGCTTTGTATTGTTGTATTGTAAATGGTGTTTACAGTTTCTAAATTTTTTCAGGTTTACAGCAACAACCAAATTTTGTTTGTTGATACAGTAACCTGAAATCATGATGAAATCTTAGTTTCTCTTGGATTTTAAGTAGATAATTTTATCTCTGCTTATGATACAATTTTATTTCTTATCTTCTCCAGTCTTGATATTCTGTATTTTGTATTTTTGTATTTAAGACAGAGTTTTGACTTATTGCTGTGTTTAGGACCTCTGGTATAATTGCTCTGCTGCATTCTGAGTAATTTGTCAGATTTTTCATTTACTAATTCTTCATTTGCATTTTTCTATTTTCTTCATTGTGTCTATAATCTATTTCATTCTCTTTCACATTGATCTTTTTCTCCACAGTGTCTTAGATAAGATTAGGCTAGGTTATGCTGCAACAACAAACCATCCTAAACTTGTCTTAAAACAACAGGATTTTGTTTATGTTTCATGTCCTGACAAAATTAGTGGAATGGTCCCTTCCACATAGTTACTTATAAATCTAAGATGATGGGACCACCAACATTTTGTTTCTGTGTAATCTGAAACAGGTGGTTTCTCAGTCATGATGGCAGGGGAAGAAAATATGTGTTACAGACTGAATGTTTGTGTACTTTCACCCCCAAATTCATTTGTTTAAGCCCTAACCCACAATGTGATGATTTGGAGGTAAAGGTCTTTGAGAGGTAATTAGGGTTAGATGAGGCCATAATGGTGAAGCTCTGGTAATGGAATTAATGACCTTACAAGAAGAGACAGAAAATTTGCTCTCTCTTTCTCCACCATGTGAGGACACAGTGAGAAGGTGACTGTCCACAAGTCAGGAAGCCCTTATCAGGGACTGAATCTGCCTTGATCTCAGATTTCTCATCTACAGAATTATGAGAAAACAAATTTCTGTTGTTTAAGCCATCCAGTCTTTGGTATTTTGTTATGGCAGCCTGAGCAGACCAATACAGCATGAGGAGTCAGGCACCAGATTTTAGTGCTTTGACTCCAAAATGACAGATGTTTCTGATAACAACTATCAGACAGAATGAGTCACATTCCTCCATCTATCTATAATGTAGCTAGAAAATACATTCTTCCTGGGGATGAGAAAGAAGAGGAGAAGCAGATATTGGTATATAATGTCAAAGTAAACTATATGTTATATTCTTTGTAGCTGTGATATGTGCAGTTTTTATATATTTTAAACATTGATATTTTCCCTTTCAAGTTAAAAATTTTAATCTAATTATCTCCAGTTTGGGGAGGGGATTGTCTGATCCTCTCACTCTCTTTGGCTGTTAATTGTTATTCCATAATCATTTATTTCTTCACATTTTAAAACTTTTTAATATAAACTGATCTTTAGCTGTATTTTCCCCACCTGATGGGATCCTGTTTGGTCTTGTTTTTTAAAGTATATCCCCAGAATATTTTGTTGTTTTTGCTTTCTTTTGCCATATATCCCAAGAATATTACTGATCAATGATCAATTTTATTTTCATTGATTGGTGTAGGGATTTCTGTACCCCAAGACTAGGTAAAATTCAGTCTCCAAATATAAGAGATTGGCAAAAAGGATAGAAAAACCTGTCTATCTCTACATTTTGATTGAAGAGTTTAATCCATTTTATATTTAATTACCGATAAGGAAGGATTTATGTCATGTTACTATTTGTTTTCTATATGCCTTAAAGCTTTTGCTGTTCCTCATTTCCTGCCATACTGTTTTCTTTTGTACTTTGATTTTTTGTAGTAAAATGTTTAAATTACCTTCTCATTTTCCCTTGTGTATATTCTATAGCTATTTTCTTTGTGGTTCCACAAGAATTACACTTTACATTCTCAAATTATAACATTCTAATTTGAATTTATACCAGTTTAACTTGAAAGCACACAGAGACTCTGCTCCTCTGTAGCTCAATTTCCACCCCTTTGGTTGTCACAAAATTATATCTTTAGACATTGTGTGCCTCAAACCATAAACTAATTATTTAAGTGCACAAGTCTCTTAAATTATGTAGAAAGCAAAATATGGAGTTACGAACCAAAGTTACAGTAATACTAGCTTTTAGACTGTTTTTCTAAAAGTACACATTTTTAGGAAGTACATTTAAATCATGTAGAAAACAATAAGTTACAAGCTGTTGTTACAATAATATTAGGTTTTATAGTTGCCCACGTATTTACCTTTACTGAGGTGTTTATTTCTTTATATGGCTTCAAGTTACTGTCTAGTGTCCTCATACTTCAACCTGCAGGACTCCCTTGAGCATTTCTTGCAGGAAAAGTCTAGTGGTAATAAACTCCCTCAGCTTTTGTTTATCTGGAAGTGTTAATTTCTTCCTCTCTTTTGAAGAACAGTTATACCAGATATAAGATTTGTGCTTGACAGGTACTTCTAATATTTTGGAGGCCGGAAGGAAGTGTACGAATATATTCAAAGTTTTTGATATCTGCCAATAATCTCATTGAGGATACTTTATATGCAATGAGTCATTCTTTTTCTCTTGCTGCTTTCAAAATTCTCTTTGTCTTTAGTTTGATTTTAATGTGTCTTTGTATGGGCCTAAGTTCATCCTCCTTGGAGTTTTTTGAGCTTCTTGGATGTTTATATTTATATATTTCATTAAACTTGGGAAGTTTTCAGCCATTACATTTTCAAATATTCTCTCTGCTCCTTTCTTCTCCTTTGTATCTCTGACAAAGCATATGTTGATCTGCTTGGTGGTATCCCATCGGTCCCTTGAACTATTCACTTTTCTTTACTCTTTTTTCTTTTTTTTCTCTTTTTTCTAAGACTTCATAATTTCTATCATCCCATGTTCAGTTTCACAGATTCTTTAGTCTTCTACTCAAATCTGCCTTTGTGTCCCCCTGGTGAAATTTTCATTTCAATTATTCTACCTTTTAGCCCCAGAATTTTTTTTTGTTTCATTTTAGGTTCTCTTTCTTTGATATTTCCATTTGGCTCATATATCATTTTCTTGATTTTCTTCAGATCTCCCTTTAGTTTTCAAAGTATTTTCAATACAGTTGTTTTAAAGTATTTGTCTAGTAGATCTGCTATCAGATATTTTTTCAGGGAGAGTTCTGTTGATTTTTATTTTTTTCTTTGAAAGGGCCATACTTTATTTCTTTGTATGCCTTGTTATTATTATTTTTTTTTGGTTGAAAACTGAATATTTGTAGTAACTCTGGAAATCAGACTCTTTCCATTTTCTAGGTTGTGCTGGTTTTGTTATTGTTTGTATTATTTTTGTTTTTTGATTGTCCTAGGCTGTCTCTGTGCTAAGGATCAGCCAGAGGTATAAACTTAAGGTTTTTACAGGTTTTCCTGAACCTGAACCTTTCCCTGGGTATGCAAAGTCACTTTTTAATTTTCTTCATATATATAGTTGCATTTGAATATCTTAGTCTCTAATGTCTGCCTCCCAGAAAGGAAAAAAGGACAAAAGGGCAAGAGGAAAGAATTCTGGCCCTTTAAGTCCCCTGGAAGTCACTTCAGCCAGAGTGGGAGGTGCTTGTGATATGAGGGGACTTAAAACAATGGCCACTGGCCCCTTTGTCTGCACCTCTGTGATCAGTAGCAGAAATCAGCAATCAGAGCACAGATCCCTGATATTTGGAGGACAGAGTCCTTTCCTATACTTCAGCTTTCACAAGCTGTATGCAGGTTGCTTCAAGAACAGCTGCCTACCACTGGTCTGGGGGTGGGATGGGTACTGTCCTAAGAGCTAAAATGGACCAAAATTAATGGTAATTTACCATCAAAGCCCTCCCCTGAAATTTTCAAGTCTTCAATAGACTTCAGAATTCCAAAATAGTTATATCAGATCGATTTGGCAGCACAAACATTGTCTAGATGGGGAGACAGACTGCTGTTGTTTCCTACTCCACCATCTTCTCAGAATCCTATTTTTGGGTGATTTTATAGAAATTTGTGTTAATTTTTGTCTCGGATATTCCAAAGGAAAGGAACTAGCATAAGTCTTAAGTCTCAAAATGAATGGATTCATAGAAGCAGCCTGTGTTTTCAATGTTTCTATATTCGAGTTTTGTAAGTTCCCTCATATTACAAGCACCTCCTTTCTGCAATTCAAAGAAGCTGATACCAGGTTGATAATGATGCTAATACTTTGGGTCCTGTAGTTGAAACTGACTGAGAATGTTAGCATAGAAAGATAATTTCTAATTAATTATGTTCTAACTTTAGAAAATGTGTATAATAACTTTAGAGTTGATAATAAATTTTGCCATAAAATAGAAAGCCTTCAACTGTGAACAGGTCAATTGCTTTTACATTTTTCAATAAATCCTTCTAATCTTTACCTATAAGTTTTGCCAAGTTATTAAAAATGCTTTATTTTAAAATTTGACCAATACACACATCATAGTATATTCATTAAAAATATAATTAAAAACATAATTCAGAACAGTTGGTAATTGTATTTTGTTCTACATTGTTCCATTTATATTTCTGCCATAGCTATGTTTAGCTAGTAAACAAGCTGATTTTTTTTCTTAATGGGTTTGCAAAATATATAGGTGTACTATGTTTCAATTTTATTATTAAATTATAATCAAGTTTAAAGATTTGAGAATAGTGTTTCTTTTATATTTACTTTGAAATATACCTGCAAGCTGTGCCTACATCCTCAGTATAGTAAGTCAGCAAAATTGTGGAATACTGCATGACTGATATATGCTTGTAATATGTGAAGTTAGATACTTCACACTAAGAAATCTGAGGTAGGTATTATCTTTCATTGAAGCAGAAGGAAACAGAAGGACTTTACTTTCAGTAATGGTGAGCAAAGCAATTGGTAATTTTCTTCTACATAAAAAAAATAAGACTAGACAAAATTGTAAAAAAAAATTACTTCAGGGCACTAGGAACTGACTAAAGGCAGACAAAAAAAATGAGAAGCATTTACTTTTGAAAAACTGCTAGAGCTTTGGGTAAAAATAAGAACTCTGTGGTACTCTTGTCTGGGGTTTCTCCCCTCTTTCTTCCACCACCAGACTACTGGGGGAAATAGTAGGTTTTTCGGCCTGGAATTGACTACCAAGCCTTGCAGCTTTACTGCCAGAAGCAATGAATTCAATTTGGGGAAGGAAGCAAAAACTTATCGTTTTGCTAGCTAAAATGGCAGACTTAGTTGGGACTGGATGGAGACAACCCACAGCACTGAAAGACCAAGACTGCCATTCCAATTTGGGTTGACTGACAGACCAGTCAGAAGCTCTATGGAGAGATTGTGGAAAAAAAGCCATGGAAAGTCCAAGTTAAGCTTTTCCAAACTTTTCTGCTGTATGGAAAAGGGCACATGCATGGAAAGACCAAAGAGAGCCCCCACCACCAAAAAGAAAAAGAACGCCAAGGGAGGCTTGAGAATTGCCTGACACATTAAATGTATTCCTCAACTCACACAGAATAACTGGGATGAGATGCAATAATCCAGATGTTATATTTCCTAGACAAAAACTTCAAAGTAGCCTTTATAGATATGTTTAAGTATTTAAAGCAAGCTATGTTCAATGAATTAAAGAAAAATAGCCTAGCAGTAAATCAACAAACAGAATCTAATAAGTAGAAAATTAGATATTTGAAAGAATCAAATGAAAATTCTAGATTAGTAAAGTAAAATAATTGAAAGTAATTTTAAAAAAAATCACTGGATGTCCTCAACAGTGTAGTTGGGAGGATAGAGAAAAGAATCAGTAAACTTGAAGATAAGTAGAAATGATTCAGACTAAATAAGAGTGGGAAATGTTAAATTGAGCATAGTCTCAGGTACCTATGGGACAATACCAGGTGTTCGCATACATGTGTCAGAGACCCAGAAGAAGAAAAAGAATCTATTTTGAAATATAATGCTTTAAACTCCACACATTTAATGAAAATTTTAAGTCACAGATCTAATAATTTTAATGAACCTCAAGTAGAATAAACACAAAGGTAACCCCATCTAGACACAACATAGTCAAATTGTTAAAAGCCAAAGGAAATAGAAATATTGAAAACAAAGAAAAAATAACTCATCATATACAATGAAACAATTCATGGTTACAAGAGAGTCCAGGTAGAAGTGGATGATTTATTCAAAATGTTGAAAGAAAAATTGTCAATCAAGAATTCTATACCCAGTAAAATTATTCTTCAAAAGTTAAAAGTGAAATGAAGAAATTTCCCCAAATAAACAAAAGCTAAAGGAATTCATTGCCAGCATACTTGACCTACAAGAAATACTAAAATCCTTAAGGTTGAAAGGAGATGATACTGTATGATTACCTGGATCCACAGTACGAATGAAAAATTCCAGAATATGCACTTTTATTCATCTATTAATTTCTTTAAAAAAAGAAATTCACCTATTAATTTCATCTATTAATTTATTCAAAAAAAGCATAAGCAATAGCTATAATTCAGTAAAATTGAATTTACAACACATATAGTTGTGATACGGATGACAATATTGGGGGAATGAAATGAAAAGAAGGGGGAAGGAAATGAAGCTATACTGGCTTAAAGTTGCTATCTTTTGCTGGAATAAAGTCAGTATTAACTTGAGATGAGTTGTGATGTTACAGATAATATTAAAATCCCTAGAGCAACCGCTAAAAACACTTCAAAAATATAGTTAAAACATCAAAGTAATTAAAATAGTGTACTGAAAATATTTGTATAACACAAGAAAAGAAAATAAAGGACAGAAAGGGGAACAAAAATCATGAGACATGTATAAAACAAATAGCAAAGTGGTAGACATAAACCCATCCATATCAATAAATGCATTAGATATGAGTGAACTAAATACTTTAATCAAGAGGCCTCGACTGTCAGACTGGATAAAAATGCAAGATCCATCTTTAAGTCTTAGATTTAAAGATAAATAAATTGAAATTTTTCAAAAAGGAAAAAGACAAACCATACAAACAATAACCATGAGAGAGTTGGAGTGGCTTTTTATCAGAGAAAATACTTTAAGAAATATCACTAGGGTTGCTGGCAATATGACTGAATAGGAACAGCTCTGGTCTGCAGCTCCCAGTGAGATCAACGCAGAAGGCAGATGATTTCTGCATTTCCAACTGAGGTATCCGGTTCATTCATTGGTACTAGTTGGACAGTGGCTGCAGCCCAAGGAGGGTGAGCCGAAGCAGGTGGGGCATCGCCTCACCCAGGAAGAAGAAGGGGTCAGGGAACTCCCTCTCCTAGCCAACCGAAGCCATTAGGGACTGTACTGTGCACTCTGGCCCAGATACTGCACTATTCCCATGTTCTTCGCAATCCACTGACTAGGAGATTCCTTCCGGTGCCTCTACCACCAGGGCCCTGGGTTTCCAGCACAAAATGGGGTGGCTGTTTGGGCAGACACCCAGCTAGTGGCAGAAGTTATTTTTCATGCCCCAGTGGCACCTGTAATGCCAGCGAGACAGAACCATTCACTCCCCTGGAAAGGGGGCTGAAGCCAGGGAGCCAAGTAGTCTGGCTTGGCGGGACCTACCCCCACAGAGCTCAGGAAGTTAAGATCCACTGGCTTGAAATTCTCCCACCAGCACAGCAGTCTGAGCTCGACCTGGAACACTCAAGCTTGGTGGGGGGAGGGGCATCCACCATTGCTGGGGCTTCAGTAGGTGGGTTCACCCTCACGGTGTAAACAAAGCCGTGGGAAGTTAGAACTGGGCAGAGCCCACTGCAGCTCAGCAAGGCCACTGCGGCCAGACAGCCTCCTCTCTGGGCAGGGCATCTCTGAAAAAAAGGCAGCAGCCCCAGTCAGAGACTTACAGATAAAACCCCCACCTCCCTGGGACAGAGCACTTGGGGGAAGGGGTGGTTGTGGGCGCAGCTTCAGTAGATTTAAACACCCCTACCTGGCAGCTCTGAAGAGAGCAGTGGATGTATCAGAACAGCGTTTGAGCTCTGATAAGGGACAGACTGCCTCCTCAAGTAGGTCCCTGATCCCTGTGTATCCTGACTAAGAGATACCTCCCAGTAGAGGCTGACAGACATGTCACACAGGAGAGCTCTGGCTAGCATCTGGCAGGTGCCCTCCAGGATGAAGCTTCCAGAGGAAGGAACAGGCAGCAATCTTTGCTGGTCTGCAGCCTCTGCCAGTGACACCCCAGCAAACAGGTTCTGGAGTGGACTTCCAGCAAACTCCAGCAGACCTCCAGCAGAGGGGCCTGACTGTTAGAAGGAAAACTAACAAACAGAAAGGGATAGTATCAACATCAACAAAAAGGACACCCACTCAGAGACCTCATCTGAAAGTCAACGACTTCAAAGACCAAAGGTAGATAAATCCACAGAGATGGGGAGAAACCAGTGCAAAAAGGCTGAAAATTCCAAAAACCAGAACACCTCTTCTCTTCCAAAGGATCACAACTCTTCACCAGCAAGAGAACAAAACTGGATGGAGAATGAGTTTGATGAATTGACAGAAGTAGCCTTCAGAAGGTGGGTAATAACAAACTCCACCGAGCTAAAGGAGCATGTACTAACCCAATGCCAGGAAGCTAAGAACCTTGAAAAAAGGTTAGATGAATTTCTAACTAGAATAACCAGTTTAGAGAAGAACATAAATGACCTGGTGGAGCTGAAAAACACAGCATGAGAACTTTCAGAAGCATACACAGTATCAATAGCTGAATGGATCAAGTGGAAGAAAGGATATCAGAGATTGAAGATCAACTCAATGAAATAAAGTGACGAAACAAGATTAGAGAAAAAAGAGTGAAAATAAATGAACAAAGCCTCCAAGAAGTATGGGAATATGTAAAAAGACCAAATCTATGTTTGATTGGTGTATGTGAAAGTGACAGGGAGAATGGAGTCAAGTTGGAAAACCCTCTTCAGTATATTATCCAGGAGAACTTCCCCACCCTAGCAAGGCAGGCCAACATCAAATTCAGGAAATACACAGAACACCACAAAGATACTCCTCAAGAAGAGCAACCCCAAGACACATAATTGTCAGATTCACCAAGGTTGAAATGAAGGAAACAATGCTACGGGCAGCCAGAGAGAAAGGTTGGGTTACCCACAAAGGGAAGCTCATCAGACTAACAGTGGATCTCTAGACAGAAACCCTACAAGCCAGAAGAGAGTGGGGGCCAATATTCAACATTCTTAGGGAATTTTCAACCCAGAATTTCATATCCAACCAAACTAAGCTTCGTAAGTAAAGGAAAAAGAAAATCCTTTACAGACAAGGAAATGCTGAGAGATTTTGTCACCACCAGGCCTGCCCTACAAGAGCTTCTGAAGGAAGCACTAAATATGGAAAGGAACAACTGGTACCAGCCACTGCAAAAACATACCAAACTGTAAAGACCATTGATGCTATGAAGAAACCACATCAACTAAGGGGCAAAATAACCAGCTAGCATCATAATGGCAGGATCAAATTCACACATAACAATATTAACCTTAAATGTAAATGGGCTAAATGCTCCAATTAAAAGAGACAGACTGGCAAATTGGATAAAGAGTCAAGACCCATCAGTGTGCTGTCTTCAGGAGACACATCTCATGTGCAAAGACACACATAGGCTCAAAATAAAGGGATGGAGGAAGATCTACCAAGCAAATGGAGAGCCAAAAAAGCAGGGATTGCAATCCTAGTCTCTGATAAAACAGACTTTAAACCAACAAAGATCAAAAGAGTCAAAGGGCATTACATAATGGTAAAGGGATCAATTCAACGAGAAGAGCTAACTATCCTAAATATATATTCACCCAATACGGGAGCATCCAGATTAATAAAGCAAGTTCTTAGAGATCTACAAAGAGACTTAGACTCCCACACAATAATAGTGGGAGACTTTAACACCCTACTGTCAATATTAGACACACCAATGAGACAGAAAATTAACAGGGATATTCAGGACTTCAACTCAGCTCTGGACCAGGCAGACCTAACAGACATCTACAGAACTCTCCACCCCAAATCAACAGAACTGAAGGAGATAGAGAAATGAAAAACCCTTCAAAAAAAATCAGTGAATTCAGGAGCTGATTTTTTGAAAAGATCAACAAAATAGTTAGACTACTAGCCAGACTAATAAAGAAGAAAAGAGAGAAAAATCAAATAAGAGCAATAAAAAATGATAAGGGGGAATATCATCACCAATCCCACAGAAATACAAACTACCAACAGAGAACACTATAAACAATTCTATACAAATAAACTAGAAAATCTAGAAGAAATGGATAAATTCCTGGACACATACATCCTCCAAAGACTAAACCAGGAAGAAATCGAATCCCTGAACAGACCAATAACAAGTTCCAAAATGGAGGCAGCAATTAATAGCCTACCAATCAAAAAAAGGCCAGGACCAGATGGATTCACAGCCAAATTCTACCAGAGGTACAAAGAGGAGCTGGTATCATTCCTTCTGAAACTACTCCAAACAATAGAAAAAGAGAGAATCCTCCCCAACTCATTTTATGAGGCCAGCATCATCCTGATATCAATACCTGGCAGAGACACAACAAAAAAAGAAAATTTCAGGCCAATATCCCTGATGAACATTGATGCAAAAATCCTCACTGGCAAACTGAATACAGCAGCACATCAAAAAGCTTATCCACCACTACCAAGTTGGCTTCATACCTGTTATGCAAGGCTGGTTCAACATATGCAAATCAATAAACATAATCCCTCACATAAACAGAACCAATGACAAAAACCACATGATTATCTCAATAGATTCAGAAAAGGCCTTCGACAAAATTGAACAGCCCTTCATGCTAAAAACTCTCAATAAACTAGGTATTGATGGAACATATCTCAAAATAATAAGAGCTATTTATGACAAACCCACAGCCAATATCATACTGAATGGGCAAAAACTGGAAGCATTCCCTTTGAAAACTGGCACAAGACAAGGATGCCCTCTCTCACCACTTCTATTCAACATAGTATTGGAAGTTCTGGCCAGGGCAATCAGGCAAGAGAAAGAAATAAAGGATATTCAATTAGGAAAAGAGGAAGTCAAATTGTCTCTGTTTGCAGATGACATGATTGCATATTTAGAAAATCCCATTGTCCCAGCCTCAAATCTCCTTAAGCTGATAAGCAACTTCAGCAAAGTCTCAGGATACAAAATCAATGTGCAAAAATCACAAGCATTGCTATACACCAATAATAGACAAACAGAGAGCCAAATCATGAGTGAACTCCCATTCACAATTGCTACAAAGAGAATAAAATACCTAGGAATACAACTTACAAGGGATGTGAAGGACCTCTTCAAGGAGCACTACAAACCACTGCTCAAGGAAATAAAAGAGGACACAAACAAATGGAAAAACATTCCATGCTCATGGAGAGGAAGAATCAATATCGTCAAAACGGCCATACTGCCTAAAGTAATTTATAGATTCAGTGCTATCCCAATCAAGCTACCACTGACTTTCTTCACAGAATTGGAAAAAAATACTTTAAATTTCATATAGGACCAAAAAAGAGCCCTCACAAAAAAGAGCCAAGACAATCCTAAGCAAAAAGAACAAAGCTGGAGGCATCATGGTACCTCACTTCAAACTGTACTACAAGGCTACAGTAACAAAAACAGCATGGTGCTGTCACCAAAACAGATACATAGACCAATGGAACAGAATAGAGGCCTCAGAAATAATGCCACACATCTACAACCATCTGATCTTTCACAAACCTGACAAAAACAAGCAATGGTAAAACGATTCCCTATTTAATAAATGGTGTTGGGAAAACTGGCTAGCCATATGCAGAAAGCTGAAACTGGATCCCTTCCTTACACCTTATACAAAAATTAACTCAAGATGGATTAAAGACTTAAATGTAAGACCTAAAACCATAAAAACTGTAGAAGACCTAGGCAATACCATTCAGGACGTCGGCATGGGCAAAGACTTCATGACTAAAACACAAAAAGCAATGGCAACAAAAGCCAAAATAGACAAATGTGATCTGATTAAACTAAAGAGCTTCTGCACAGCAAAAGAAAATATCAGAGTGAACAGATGACCTACAGAATGGGAGAAAAATTTTGCAGTCTATCCATCTGACAAAGGGCTAATATCCAGAATCTGCAAAGAACTTTAACAGATTTACAAGAGAAAAACAACCCCATCAAAAAGTGGGCAAAGGATATGAACAAGACGCTTCTCAAAAGAAGACATTTATGCAGCCAACAAAACATATTCAAAAAAGCTCATCATCACTGGTCAACTGCATATTTCCAGTTACAGTTACATATCAAACCCACAATGAGATACCATCTCATGCCAGTTAGAATGGTGATCATTAAAAAGTCAGGAAACAACAGATGCTGGAGAGGATGTGGAGAAATAGGAATTACACTGTTGGTGGGAATGTAAATTATTTCAACCATTGTGGAAGACAGTGTGGCAATTCCTCAAGGGTCTAGAACTAGAAATACCATTTGACCCAGCAATCCCATTACTGGGTATATACTCAAAGGATTATAAATCATTCTACTATAAAGACACATGCACACGTATGTTTACTGTGGCACTGTTCACAATAGCAAAGACTTGGAACCAACCCAAATGCCCATCAATGATAGACTGGATAAAGAAAATGTGGTACATATACACCATGGAATACTATGCAGCCATAAAAAAGAATGAGTTCCTGTCCTTTGCAGGGACATGGATGATGCTGGAAACCCTCATTCTCAGCAAGTAACACAAGAACAGAAACCAAACACTGCATGTTCTCACTCATAAGTGGGAGTTGAACAATGAGAATACATGGACACAAGGAGGGCAACATCACGCACTGGGGCCTGTCGGTGGGTAGGAGGCTAGGGGAGGGATAGCATTAGGAGAAATACCTAATGTAAGTGACGAGTT